>NC_000023.11:72462542-72765572 GCF_000001405.40 Homo sapiens
TAAAAACCCAGGAAAGAGAAAAGGAAAATGCTGACAAAAACAGACTTCCTTCTTTTGATGTCAGCATTCCTTTTTGCCACAAAACATAGGCCTGGTGGCAGAGATCAAAGAGAGTGAGATGAGGAAGGGACCGTTGATGGATGCTCTGACCCATCTCGTCAGGTCCTGTCACAGTCACCCAACGGCCATATTATACTGGCTAATAATCAGCACATTTTTGTGCTGAATAGATGTGCTCTGCCATGCAAGCATTAGAACATTGGCCTTTAGCTAAATTCTAAGAGTATAAGGGTAAAATGGAATGATTTCCTAATCTCAACGCAGCCTAAGGGAAACAGAATCTGGTCTATTTTAGATAGGGTGACCATATAAATTATCATACAAAATGGTATACTTTTAAAAGTAAAAGAGGGCACTATTAATCATTACACTGGGATAACATGTATAAACTCGGACATATGGTCACTCTTTTCTTAAGCTTTTCTACTATTTGAAAGGTCACGGATGCTTTGACTATGTCTTTTAGGTCTCAATGGGGTCCACTGAAGCTTGGGGATGTGGCTCCCTCTACGAATTGTGTGTTAATAGGGCTGAGAATTTCAGTTAGATAGTACAGGTATTACTTTAAATACTCCTGACACGGAAAAATCTGACTTTATAAGATAGACTTATTCGGCATGAGTATTTAATTTCAAAAAAAGGTCACTATAGGTTTTGCTTAGGTAGTAAACTATCTCTGGTACATATACAATATGATTTGATTTGCAAAAATTCCATTTATGCACAAGCGTTTTCAGGAATACACATATTTCCTAAGAAGACTTATATATTCAAATGTCAAAACTTTGGGCTGAGAAAACAAAAAGGCTTTAGAGAATGCTAACAGGCTTTTAATGTAAAGATTATAGCCTCAAACAAAAGTCAGGTTCTAACCTGATGTATATGGTAGAAAGGTCTCTTCCCCCTCCTTAGCTGTACCTGTATCATAATCACCATCCTTAGTGCTGTCAAGAAAAGTAATATGTCACACAGTACTTATCAATTTTATCTTTTTCTTCAGTTGAAGTTAATATATTTCTTGCCAGCTTTTCATAAGAGGTTGTCTCTTGTAAGTACCTTTAATTTTGAGCCTTCTAGAGTTTGAGGCTGCCAAAGGACAAGGCTTGTGTACTTGTGTTGAATGCCCACTCATTTAATAAGGCCTCCCCACAATTTCCTCTAACAGGTTGACAAAACAACCAACAATTAGCTCTTCTATAATATATGCATTTTAAGCTCAATCTGCTTGACCATGTTATTTTAACACACCAATCTATTCATCCAATGAAATAAAGATTGTGCCAGGTAGGTAGACAGAAGATTTTAAGCAAGGCATCTTTAAAGGTGGTAGATGTTGTGACAAGTTCTTTTCTCAAATGTTTAAATGCTACTATTGAATAGACCGGGCTTTCTTTTGGCTAAGTAATACAAATAATCAGCACACACCAAAGGCAAGAATGCCCAAGAGACTATAGATCTCTCAATTTTGCTTCACTGTAACAAATCCATGCTTTTTGGGGGAAGAGGCATTCTTGAATTCAGCTTATTTAATTAATCTGTGTGTTTACTACTTACATACAAGTAGAGTTGGAATTTCAGTGACATGTTCCCAAAAGATGATTATTAGAACTGAAAATCAAAGACTACACTGAGAGAAGGTGGATCAAAGTCTACCGGGGTTAACATCCTCTATTTTTAAGATTCGAGGTAACCTTTAACCAGAGGATCTTTGCTTCAGGAATTGAAATTTAGACTTTAGAGTGCCAAGAAGTCAATGCACATGCTAAGCTGAGAAGTGTGTCAGAGTATTTTCTTATTCTGAACTGTGGAGGTGGCAGATTTTATTGACTCAGGCTTCTGGGCCTCAGGTAGGTTGGTATTATCCAATGCAAGAAAGCCAAGTTTTCCAAGTTCAGTGCCAATGGACAAAATGTGGAGGAAGGTCAACAAATTCTGGTAACCTTCCTTTATACTCACCTCCTCCCAAAATGAGTGTTGCCAACTGCCATTGAAGGATGTACTTAAGACACTTGCCAATTCCCACTGGAGTCATGTTAAAGGAGCACATGGGATCCCCAGCTATTGTGTCAGCTCCCAGCTGTAAGACCACTGCTTTGGGATTAAAGGCTTGGTATACTTCCTTTAGTACACTATATAAAATAGAAAGGATACAAAATATAGGTCAGTTTGGTCTAGGGGTAGTGGTGGTGGTAGGGCAAGTTGGAGGTATAATTGAATTAGCAAATAGTTAAGGGAAAAAAACACAACCTGTCAAACTCATCAAACTTTCCACTTAAGAGAGGTGAATCAGACTACATGTAAATGATACCTTAATAAACCTGACTTACAAAAAAATTTCCCTCTACTTCCACGCTCATCAATGAACACATCTGCCCTTCTGTTTTAAAATTCAGACTTCCTTGAAATATTCATATTAATTTAACTTCAACAGCCATAGGACACAGTATACACATTTAGTCCATTTTAAAATCTGGGAAAATAAGATATACATTGAATAGTCATTAAGGGTTCTTTCTGGTTATTTAAGATGAGGACCATACTTGGAGTTTAATCACCTGGTTCTCAGTGGGGGCTGGGGAGAAGAATTACATGCTTTACAAGCATAGATGTTATCAGGTAAGTTTTTATTATGTAAAAGGACTAAAGGGTTATGAAATGCAATCCTCCCTAATGCATATGTAACCAGGGTATTGTAGGGAAGGTAACTGTAACAACTGATCTAAAATTATAAACCTGAAAGCACCCTAAAGAACAAATTGTAGTGTAACAATGAGCATAATTTTGGATAGAATCATTCAGTGCTACCTACTCAACCTAGCTGTTTTTTTTTTTTTGATAGAACCCTTGTAGATGAAAAGGAAGATGTCAATGTGACAGATGACCTTAGTCAAGCTTTCAGTATTATCATTAATTGAACACTGGCAGTGTCCAGAATGCATTTTTAGGAGTTATAAAGTCCCTGCTCTCAAGGGGCTTACAATCTACTTTCCAGACAGAATATATACCAGCCCTCAAGGGCCTGAATAACTCTTACAGAGACGTATAAACAAGTGTAAATTAAGATACATCAGAGTTGAGAAAATCCAGAGTCAAAAAGTGATAAAAAATGTTGAGGTTAATGACCTCTTCATAATCAACATGTCAAATTACACCAGTGCAGCAAGACCAGAAAAATCCCAGATCTTTCTGAAAATGCAAAAAGAATTCAGGGACATAAAAAGCCATTCTCCCAAATCCATATGTAACAAGGGTATTGAAATTATTGAATAGTGCTCACCCACAGAGGCATTCTTTGACTCAAAGGACTGTTTTGTTTTGATTTCTCATCTACACAGAAAAATATTGAGTGATCATAGAGATTATAAGAATATTATAAAAATAATGACATATGATCCTTAATACAAGGATACTTGGGCCTATTCTCTCTTTCATATGCTTATCTCCTGGGTGCAGAGGGAAGATAAGCTAACTGAATAGTTTAGACGACATTTATTGAGCATCTACATGTACAGAGCACCCTATTAGCTGCTGCTGGGAGATACAGAGGAAGGCGTGATGTCTGTTCTAAAAAGGTTTCTAGCTTAAGGAGGAGGAGGGGGAGGCAACAAGACTAATGTTCTGTTCATTCATTCTTTCCCTCACTTACCACACATTTTCCTGAGCATCCACTGTGTGCCCAGCATGTAACTGTACCAGATGCTGCAGGAATAAAGATGAATATGACACAACCCCTAGCTTCATGTAGCCCGGAAATAGAGGGAAAGACACAGACTATGTCAATAAATAATTAAAATACAACGACAAATGAAGTGTCAGAAATGGCACAGAGTAGGGAATAATCAACTTTTCCTGAGGATTTTAAAAAGGCTCTACAGACGTAACTCTTGACTTAGGTCCTAAAAGATGAGAACTACACTGAGCCAACTCTCAAGATGGCTAAAATGAAAAATGGTAACAACGATTCCTGGTAAGGATGTGGAGAAACTAGATCACAAACATATCTTGCTGGTGGGAACGTAAAATGGTGTAGCCACTCTGGAAAATAGTTTGGCAGTTCCTGTTAAGACTAAAAATAGACTTACCATATGACCTAGTAATTGTACTCTTGGGCAATGTATTTCAGATAATTTAAGACTTATTTTTGTGTAGGAACTTGTACATGAATGTTCGTAGCAGCTCAATTTGTAATAGCCAAACATTGGAAACAACCCAGATGTATTTCAACAGATAAATGGTTAAACAAACTGGTACAACCATGCCACTGGAATATTGCTCATTAATAAAAAGGAGCAAACTATTGATACATGCAAAAAATCTGGGTGGCTCTCAAGGGAATTGTGCTGGGTCAAGAAGGCCAATCTCAAAAGATTATCTGCTGCATGAGCCCATTCATATTACATTTGCAAAATAATAATTACAGAGGTGGAGAATAGATTAGTTGGTTGCCAGGGGTTAGGGATGGATGTAGCTATAAAGGCGTAGCATGAGGGAACCTTGTGGTGATGGTACTGATCTGTATCTTGATTGTGGTTGTAGTTATGCAAGGCTACATGTGTGATAAAATTGCATAGAGCTACACACACACACACACACACACACACACACACACGTGCATATATAGCTGGTGAAATCTAAATAAGCTCTATGGCTTGTACCAATGTCCAATATCAACTTCTTCATTTTGATGCCGTAATATAATTGTATAAGATGTCAACATTGGGGGAGGCTGGAAGAAGGGTACATGGGACTTCCCTGTACATTTTTTTGCAACCTTCTGTGAATCTGTGATTATTGTGCAATAAAAGTTTTTTTAAAAGTATAGAAATTTATAGGTATGTAGGGTGACGATAGGGAAGTTGGAGGCAGAGATGATTGTGGGGTTACTGGTAGGGGACTAAGTCCGGAGAAGGAAGTATGCATGCAGAAACATGAAGGCTTGACAGCGGGAGTGGTGGGATGAGGCTAGAGAGGTAAACGTGGGCTATATATGCCCGGCAGGCTAATGAGTTTGGACTTTTGCTTAAAGGGTACAAAATGTCTCAAACATTGTGTGGGTGCATGTGTGCATCTGTGTGTGTGTGCTTTGAAGGCATAATTAGATTTCCATTTTAAAGATACTCAAGCTCTATTGTAGGATACCCTGAAGGTTGATGAGGGCTTTTGCAACCATCCAGGCCAGTGACAGCAAGGATAAGGAGGAAGAGATAGATTTGGGAGAAATTTATATGGTAGAATTGATCGGGTAATACAGAGTGACACACAAGAAAAGCATATACATATAACATTTATGAGTGTTTGGTATTTAGGAGAGAGGAAAGGATAAAGGCAGGCAGGTGTTTCTGGAGTAGTTGTTTTGATTATAGCCAGGTAGGGAAAATGAGTCCTCAAGGAGTTCTGATAAAGAGGGCTCTGGATGGGTATTGAAAAGGTTGATAAGAAGCTTTCAGAAAGGTAGGGCATCTTGTACATAGTGCAAACTTCAAAGCAACTGAAGTAAGGGCAGCTTACAGAGGGCTGGATTGTGAACACTTTTAAATTCAAGACTGGAAGTTTTCATTTGATTTGACAGTCAAATGGAAACCATTGGAGAAGTAAGAGGTAAGTACTAATGTTGCTGAAAAATTATGCTTAGGAACTTAGCTTTTTGCTCTTGCATGTAGGGTCAACGTGACGAAGTCAACCCCACAGGGGTTGGCAAAAAGGGTATTGAAGCATTCTAGTCATGATGGCAGCAGGAAGCAAGGTAAGGTAAATTTGGAAAAACATTGGGAGGGCTAATTGACAGAGTAGGAGTGGAGCATCAAAGAAGAAAACACTGTGCCAATTCCTCCAGAATTCCCAGGACGGAAAAAAAAATTGGAATATTATTTTTCCTATTGCCACTTCCAAATCTAACATTCTTTCCTCTCATCAATCGCTCCCTCTTTTGAGTCAATGTCATTTGATAATATTACTCAAATACTATGAAAGTTCTTATCTTTCACCTCCCTTGGGGGTTTTAGCACCTCGTTCACAATTTTTCTCATTCTGCCTTTCCTTGTCATCATTTTCTGCAGTTCAATATTCATTCCCTCACTCAAACCTTGATTCAAATACTAGAGACACAGAAATAAGCAATACTCAGGAAGCTTCTGGTCCACTAGGGGAGGAAAACAGGAAAACAAGTAACTGTGATAAGTGCTATAATATTCATTCATTCATTCATTTCATTCATTCATTCATTCAACAAATGTTAATTGAATGCCTGTTATAGGTACTACGTTGGGCAATGGGTTCACAGTATTGAACAAGAGACCTATTTTTTCCCCCTGCCTGTTCTAACTCTCTAACATCAGAGTTCCTTTATCTTTTCAACAATAGTGATGTCCACCTGCACTCTACTTTATTCCTTGTCATAGACACACTTTGGGGCCTGATAAAGAAGCACTTGGAATTGCTCTTCTTCTAAGGCCCTGAACTCTGAACTAGTTTCTCCATCTACAATTTTCTATCTTTCCAATTCCTATTGTATTTGGTCTTTATTCTTACTGTAACTCCTATTCCCTAGTTTTTTTTTTCCTATTTTCAAAGTACACCATCCTATAAATTTTTTGTCTTTTGAGACAGGGTCTCAGTCTCTCACCCAGGCTGCAGTGCAGTGGCATGATCATGGTTCACTACAGCTTTGACCTCCTGGGTTCAAGCAGTCCTCCCACCTCAGCTTCCCAAGTTGCTGGGACTATAGGCCACCACATCCAGCTAATTTTTAATTTTTTTTGTTGCCCAGCCTAGACTCGAACTCCTGGGCTCAAGCGATCCTCCCACCTTGGCCTCCCAAAATGCTGGGATTACAGGCGTGAGCCATCATGCCCAGCTCAGCCTATCTTTTGACTTCATGTGCTTCATTACTTATTCTGGAGAATATGATTAGTCATTTTGAAAACTTACTTTAGCACCCTAGTTCCCTCACACCTTTGCCATTTTTGCCTTGTCAGTCCTTAAACCCTTGGATGAACCACACCATCAGAATTTTCTCTCTGTTCTGCTGGAGGAAGCTGAGAAATCAAGTGAATTGCTTCCATTAGAGTTTATGCTTATAACTTCAATTCAACAAATTCTACAAACATTAATTGAGTGATTAATATGGGCCACACACTCTCTACAGCTTGGCCACGTTTCACTTTACCTCCAAGTGATGAAGAATTACATTTCTTACAGCAGCTAGTCTAATTTTTGAAAAATACAAATATAATGAGAGGACATTCTTGATATAAAAAATTAAACATGGCCGGTCACGGTGGCTCATACCTGTAATCCAGCACTTTGGGAGGCCGAGGCGGGCAGATCACTTGAGGTCAGGAGTTTGAGACCAGCCTGGCCAACATGATGAAACCTCATCTCTACTAAAAATACAAAATTAGCTGGGCGTGGTGGTGGGCACCTGTAATCCCAGCTACTTGGGAGGCTGAGGCAGGAGAATCGCATGAACCTGGGAGGCGGAGGTTGCAGTGAGCCAAGATCGCACTACTGCCCTCCAGCCTGGGCCACAGAGTGAGACACAGTCTCAAATACATACATACATACATACATACATACATACATACATACATACATACATACATAAATACAACATAAAGGTCTATCAAATAAAAGTGAAAAATCTCCCTATTTCCATCTCAACTTCCACCCCAGAGGTAACTGCTGATTCATAGTTTGTTGTGTATCTTTCTAGATCAAACTTTTTCTGTCTCATACTGGACGGAACTGGTTGAAGCTATGTGTAATGAGTGCCTTTACCTCTTTTCTCTACCTGAAAATGTCCTCCATCATATTTCTTCTACCTTTCCAGCTTAATTTATCCCTGTGAGCACTAAATCCTCTTTTGTTGCTTTAAGGGTCATGTATCACCAATGAGCTCTTTTCTTACATCTTCAGTCCCTGAATTCCTGCTGATTCAGTTCCTGTAGGTTATAAGTTAAAAGTCGCCCATCTATCCCTCCCTTTCTTCTCAGCATTGTCCAACTTATCCACATACTGGCCGCCTATACATACTTCTTGCAATCCAGGATCTGATCTTACTGCTCTCCTGAAATTGCTCTCTTAAAGGTAGAGAGACCTCTCGATTACCATATCCAAAAGCCTTTTCTCTGTTATCTTTTTCAAACTTCTTAGAAGCAACTGACAGTTGATTCTACTAAAAAATCTGCAGCTGGTTATCAGGGGCTACAGTTCCAGGAAAAAAATATTTTAAAAGTAATTTTAAAATAAGTTTATTGATCTTCATATACTATACAATTCCCTCATTTAAAGTGTACAATTCAATGGCTTTTAGCATATTCAAAGAGTTGTGCACACAACATCACAATGAATTTTAGAATATTTTCATTGTCCTCAAAAGAAACCCTGAACCCATTACCAGTCACTATCTATTCCCAACACTCTCCAACCCCCAGCCCCTGGCAACCACTAATATACTTTCTGTCTCTATGAATTTGTCTAATTTTGACCTTTCATATCAGTGGAATCATATAATGTTTTCTTTTGTGACTGTCTTCAAGGTTCATTTGTGTTGTAGCATGTATCAGTACTTCATTCCTTTTTATGGTTGAATAATATCCAATTGCATGGATAGACCACATTTTATCCATTCATCAGTTGATGTTATTTCCACTTTTTGGCTGATATTAATAATGCCACTATAGTATACTACTACAGATATACATGTACAAATTTTGTGTAGACACATTTTCAATTCTCTTGGGGATATATACCTAGGAGTAGAATTGCTGGGTCATGTGGCAACTCTATGTTTAACCATTTGAGGAAGAGCTAGACTGTTTTCCACAGTGGGCCACACCATTTTACATCCCCATCAGCAATGTATGAAGGTTCCAATTTCTCCACATCTTCACCAACACTTGCTATTTTTTGTTTTGTTTCATTTTAAATTAATTATAACCATCTTAGTGGGTGTGAAGTAGCATCTCACTGTGGTTTTGATTTGCATTTTTCTGATTAGTAATAAAGTTGAATATCTTTTCATGTGCTTATTGGATATTTGTGTATCTTCTTTGAAATAATATCTATTTCAACCCTTTGCCCATTTTCAAACCGGGTTGTCTTTTTAATATGGAGTTGTAAGAGTTCTTAAAATATTCTAAATATGTCTCTTATCAGACACATGATTTGCAAATATCTACTCCCATTCTGTGGGTTATCTTTGCACTCTCTTGATAGTGTCCTTTGCAGCACAAAGTTTTAAATTTTGACGAAATTCAATTTATCTATTTCTTCTTTTTTTGCTTATGTTTTTGGTGTCATATCCAAGAGACCACTTCCTATTTCAACATCATGAAAATTTACATCTATGTTTTCATCTAAGAGTTTTATAGTTTTAGCTCTTACATTTAAGTCTTTGATCTATTTTAAATTAATTTTTATATATGGTGCGAGGTAAGGGTCCAACTTTATTTTTTATTTTATTTTATTTATTTTTTTTTTTTTGAGACGGAGTCTCGCTCTGTCGCCCAGGCTGGAGTGCAGTGGCGGGATCTCGGCTCACTGCAAGCTCCGCCTCCCGGGTTCACGCCATTCTCCTGCCTCAGCCTCCCAAGTAGCTGGGACTACAGGCGCCCGCCACTATGCCCGGCTAATTTTTTGTATTTTTAGTAGAGACGGGGTTTCACCGTTTTAGCCGGGATGGTCTCGATCTCCTGACCTCGTGATCCGCCCGCCTCGGCCTCCCAAAGTGCTGGGATTACAGGCGTGAGCCACCGCGCCCGGCCCAACTTTATTCTTTTGTATATTGATACATCCAGTTGTCCTATCATCATTTATTGAAAAGACTGTCCTCTCCCCCATTGAATGGTCTTGGCCCCTTTGTGTAAAATCAATTGACTATAATTGTGGGGGTTAATTTCTGGACTCTGAACTCTTCCATTAATCTATATGTCTGTCCTCATGCCAGCAAGATGCAGCTTTGATTACTGTAGTTTTGTTGTAAGTTTTAAAGTTGAGAAGTTTGAGTTTTCTAACTTTGTCCTTCTGTTTCGAGATTGCTTTTGCTATTCTGGGTTGAATTTCTGGATACATTTTAGGATCAGATATGTCAATTTGTGAAGAGAAGTCAGCTGTGATTTACAGCTCCATTTTGACTATGCTAAACCTGTCATCTTACCTCTTCTATTCCCTGACTCTGTTAATGATATCCATCTTTTCAGTCACCCATGTTCAAAACTGAGGAATTTGAAAGTCACCCTTTCAGATTCCTCCCTTTTCCTGTTCCTTTCCAATTACCAGTCTTCCACCAATCTCTCTCCTATTCCTTCCTCTCCACTTCCACTGCAGTACTCTAATCTAGCCCTTATGACCACCTTCATGGATTACACCAATAGCTTCCTAATCAGTTTCCCTGCCTCAAGTCTCTTCCCTCTCCAATCCTTCACACACAAAACCATCAAATTAATTTTCCTTAGGGATATAGTTTTGATAAAGTTACTTCTTAATTCAAAAACCTTTAATGTCCCTCCATTGTCTTTAGAGAACACTTAATATTCTTAGGCTATGATCCAAAGTGCTTTGTAATCTGACTATGGCCTACCTTTAAAATCTTATTTTCCAATAACACCTTAACCTATATTATTCTATAGGCAAACTGAACTCTCCATTGTTCACCTCACTCACCTCGTATTTTCTTGCAAGTATGCCTTTTGTCGTGTACTTACTTGTGCCTGAAAGTTACCTTTCTACATGTCTACATCACAGCCATTCTTTAAAGGCTAGCTTAAATTTTATCTCCTCCATGAATGAGAATGATAATAATGATGACAACAGCTAACATTTATTGAGAACTTTATTCAGAATAGAGCACTGTTCTATGTATTTTACATGTCTTAACTCATTTGACCCTCATAATAATTCATAACAGGTATTATTTTTAATCCTATTTTACAGATGGGGAAACTGCCATACAGAGAGGTTAAGAAATCTGTACAAAATCACACAGCTATTAAGTGGCAGAGCTGGTTTTTGAACCCAGGCATCCAGGCACCAGAGTTTTTGCTCTAAACCACTACAGTATATCTGCTTCCATGACTTACTGAGCTCCTATGCATCAGATACTATGTCAGCCACTTTACCCACATTATGTCAATATAACAGCAGATGCTGTTGCCAAAACTTTACTGGGAAGAGTGTTAATCTTCCCAAGCAAGCTTTGATCTTATGATTCCCTCATTCTAAAACCTTCAGTGGCTCCCAAAATGTTTACAGAATATGGTACAAATTTTCATAGCTAAGAATTCCAGCTCTTCCGTGATGTGGTTCCCACCCAGGTTTCCAATCTTCTTTGCAACTTCTCCTCCATGCACTTTACAGTCCAGCCAAACTAAAACCACTGCTATTCTTTGTACATAGCTCAGTCTCTCCCAACTTTGATCTTGCTGTACCCTGTGTGTAGAACATCCTTCCCTACAATCTCTGTATATTCAAACTTGACCCAGATTTTATAAACACTCATATACATTCACACACTTTGTAAAGATAGAGTAATTAGCTACCCTTTAGAAACCAGATCAAATGTTACCTCCTCAATTACGCCTTTTTCTGAAGTATTTTCTCTCTTTGAATACCCACAGCATTCTATCTCTTATGGTTCTTACAATTTTCTATGTTTTATTTATTTAAATGTGTGTGAATATGAAAATCAATCTCTATTTATTTATCTAACATTTAAAAATTTCCACTAACTTCCTCGAGGGTAGAATCAATACTTTATACATAGTAGGCATTCAATAAATAGTCATTAAATGAATACATGAATGAAATGTCACTCCAGATTGCTTTTGGGAAAGTTTCCCTAACCACTGTAACAGTACTGTTTGCTACACTGCAAATCATTAATTTTTCGTTTTGTGAAAGTATAAAATCTCTTATCCAGAAAGGAGGGGGAGGACAGGCATCTCTTTATACTACATTAGTAACTTCCCTATAAACATACAAGATATTCATTTAAAATGCAGTTTTCTTGATGAGAAACCTGATCCTTCAGTATTCAGCAGTCTAGTTTTCAGACAAGGCTATGCAAATGGGGAAGACAAGCTGCGGCAGCTGCTTCTACAGGCCTGGATTTGGGGCAGGAGGTTCGTACCTGAGGAGGATAAAAGCCAGAGTGGTGACATTAATGATGCTTTTGGATAAAAGAAAAGCCCAAGAACAAAATCGTAGAGTTACTCCCTTTTCTTTGATTCCATCAGGGTAGAACACAGCTTCTACTGTGTGCCTTTGAGATCTTTCACTGGTGCTTCTTTACCTTTAATATCAGGGGCTGAACATGTTTTGTGGTTTTTTTGTTATTTAGATAATCAATATCCTAAAAGATTCATCTCAGGGCAATGGGATGCCAGAGCAATGGTGTTATAGTCACCCTTAACCGATACTGGTGGTGGGGTCTGGTAACCCTAACTTGTCCCTCTAGCAAGACCTCTGATGGGTTCATGCTCCCAGAAGGTTTAGTCTCCTGACTTTCTAGATTGCGCACCAGTCTAAACCAGCCTTGTCATCTTCATGCTTTCCAACAGACACTCTCAGCACCCTCTAGAGACTCCCTCAATAGAGATTAAAGAATGAGAAATTCAAAGTTGAAAAACCAAGAAGGGTAGGATGCAGAAGGAGAGAAGAGAAAAATATTTGCTACTAACGCTTTGAATTCTCAATGTCAGCCTGAGAAAAGTTATTGCCAGCAGCAAAACCCCTTTCTAAGACATAAATTTTAAACCTATTGCATTTGATGGGATTGAGAGGCAGACTGTGTTAAGGACCCAAAGTATTACTAGTCAGTCCCAAATGGGAGCCGTTCAACTTTCCATAGGTATGTTTTCTCTAAATTCTCTCAATCCTATCTGAGCTCAGGTACTGCTGACTCATTCTGCAACAACTCAACCTGCCAGGGGATGCAGCATATGGTAAATGCCTCAGTGACTTCTGAATATCTATTACAAATGGTTCAGGGATGCAGGGATTTGGGAGGAGGGAGGCTGCCTTGCAGTGAGCATGATGTGTCATTTTGTTGGAGAACATGGGTGCCTCTTGGACATATTCAGAAGACATTTAATTTTCTGTAAGTTTCTTTTTCTGCTTTTAGCATCAAACAAGCTGTACTGGTTCCATGAACTTCTAAAAACATGAAAGAAAAAAAAACAAATCCATAAAATAAAAGACAAACCTTAAACTCCCAAACCAACCAACCAACCAAACAACCAACCAACCAGCAAACAACCTCATATCCCTTTCGCTGTTTTAATTTTCGTAACGTAATTTCTTAACGTTTTAAAGGGGCATCTTTTCTCTCACTGCTGAGTCTATTATATAGAAACATAGATTCTAACGGGCATTCTAACACGCCTTGTAGTAGGTAATTCTACTCATCAATTACGTGTCACCTTGGCAACAGAAAGGGCTGCATACTATTTTTAACATATTATTACTTATCTCTCACTATACCTTTTAGAAGTAAACCATTCTCATTCACACAACGGAAAGTGAGTCATCCAGAATTAAAGTCATCCAGTGTTTTCATGGCACCTTACCAGTGGCCTGAAGTGAATCGTCAGAGCTAGAATTAGAACACTAATTCTAATTCGAATGCAATGCTCTTGTTACTAAATCCCAATGGTCTTTGGCTATCTTCATTCTGAGAGGCCAGAGGACCTAGCAAGCAGAGTGTACATTATCTGGGCAGGGGGTAGGGTGGGCAAAGTGGTAGGCTGGTTTGGAGAGCTAAGCTGAAAAACAAAAAATGGAAGAAGACCTAAAGAATATGAATCCTAAGGCTATCTGTGCTATTTGATCTGGGGTATGTCATTTAACTGCTCTGTAACTACCAGGACTGCTCATAGTGTAGACTGCATTCTGCTCTGTGTCACATCATTTGACCAAATGTCTCATCTGTCCCCCTTTGCAACCCCTACAGCACTCAGTTCAGGGAGAATGCTGAATTTGGAGTCAGATAAGGTTGGATTCAGTGTTTGTATAGCAACTTGGACAAATCACTTCCCTGAACCTCAGTTTCCTTCTCTGTAAAACAATAATATTCTCTCCCTCACAGGGTTATTGTGAGGATTAAATGATATAACATTTGTGAAAGTCTTCTCCCAGCATCAGGCATATAGTAAGCACTCCATAACATTGAATGAATAAATGAATGGCCTCAAGTCAGGCCCTTTGAGTGCTATGTTAATTCTTTCAGCCCACTAGGATACTGGTGAGTTCAGCACAGCACACCAGAGCAGTGACTTCCTGAATAGTATTCTAATGGTCCCCAAAGGCAGAGAGAAATTTCATCGTGTCACTGCCCGGTTATACCTGTTCTGGGAATACAGTAATTCATTTTCCAGTGCTGTCAATCTATTACCTTTCACCAAACACAAAATTCGCTTTAAGAAGGGACAGAAACACAAGTGCCTTTCTGTTATATAGAGGTTGGGAGAATATATTATTAAAATTGAAACCGACTTCTCTGATTTCTTAGGCAAAAAATCAGATTGGAAGCCAAACAGCTATTTGGCCTTTGCAGACCCTGGATAGCGATGCCCTTGGGGGAAAGGGGAGTGTTGGAGTCATTCCAAACTATAGTTAGAACATTTACGTGTATATTTACTGCTTGTGCTTATGCTCTCTGCCTTAGTTTTTACTCTCTAAGCCTTGAAGAATTCACAATTTACCTAGAGCACAGTTTAATACATACGGGTGGGAATAAAGGCCTATATCTCTGTTTCTCATTTCCTAATCACATTTTCTACCTTCCTTATATAACTGATACCTCTTCTTTTCCAATTCAATTGCTCACTTTTCAAGCTTAGGTGAACAATAGTGATTTGTTAACAATAAACATGCTCCTAGCCCTTCCCTCACTCTTCTTTACCCCTGAGGGCCTCCCTAAGATTCAAAGCCGAAATTCTGCCATATAGTTAGCACCTGGTGCAGCTCATCAAAATATAATATCCTTTCCCAGATGATTGGAAATCTCTGCAATGCCGTCATACAATGAGGTGTGCAAGAAAGAGTTTGGGGATTGATTTTCATCATTAACTTGACATTGCATGGTTTTTGTGGGACTTAAAAAGAAATGCATTTTTATTACTTTTAAGTACTGCACATAGAATAACTCCAACTCATCATATTTTAACAGTTATTTTTCTAGGGCAGGATGTATGTTAAACATGCCTATGTTAGAGTGTCTGGTGGATCATTTAGGATCAGTGTCCTGTTGCTTGATGAAATCCAGATCACTTCAATGAAATCCAGATGGGGAAACTGGATCTCTGGCAATGGCTGCCAGATCTTCTCCATATGAAATCTCTCTAGTCTGTATGCAAATTCAAAACTCCATGTCCTGGAAATCCCAAACCAATCAAGTGGCGCTCCGCTTCTTAGTTACTGGACTAAACACAGGGAAGCGATTCATTCTTCCCTGAGGAAATAAGCATTTCTTACATACATCTATCTTGGCACAAAAAGGGCTGGCTAAGCAAATTAATAGTGTAAACAGGACTGCACGGGGGAATGTTTGTCCTACTTAGGAGAATAAACTTTTTATGCACTTTGTGCATATCCACTTACATACAAATAATTGATATGCTAATTACAAATGATTCTTAAAGCCCCTTCCCTGAGGTGCTGTACTATGCTGTTAGTCTAGTTTGAATTACTAGCATGTCCAGTGCTTGAAAGTAATAAAAATGCATTTAAAAATATCCCATGATTCAGACTGGCTTTCCTCTAATTAGGCTGAGTTAGTGAGGCTTGCCTGTATTTAAATAGGATAGATATTTTTCCACTTCACCCCTAACACGTTTAAGATGGTCTCCCTCCCCTCTCTATTCCTCCATCCCCCTCAACACGGAGCTGGCGCACACAAACCCCTTAGCTTCTGGCTCACTATGCAATGGCACTTGCATCACCTCCAGGCAAACACATTGCTTTTAGCCCCTGGCACACACACGTGCCCTTTTGCTTATTAACTTGTTAGCTGGTTATTTGATATAGCTTTTTTTGAGGAGTTCTTTCCTTTAGTCCTTTTTTTTTTTTTTTTTTGACGGAGTCTTGCTCTGTTACCTAGGCTGGAGTGCAGTGGCGTGATCTCGGCTCACTGTAACCTCCGCCTCCTGGGTTTTCAAGCGATTCAATCTGCCTCAGCCTCCCAAGTAGCTGGGACTACAGGCACGCACCACCAAGCCCAGCTAATTTTTGTATTTTTAGTAGAGACGGGGTTTCACCAGATTGGCCAGGCTGGTTTTGAACTCCTGACTTCAAGTGATCTGCCCGCCTCAGCCTCCCAAAATGCTGGGATTACCGGTGTGAGCCACTGTGCTCGGCCCTTTAGTTCTTCTTTAAGTACCAATGGACATGGCTCTTTCCTGGTAGTACAATGGGTTAACAGTGCACACAGAGCAAAGTCCAGCCAACGTAACATCAGGCTTTTTCATCAGGTGCTGGACACTGGGTTTAACTAAATCTCTGTATAGTCCTTGTCAACACATCCCAACGAGGCAGCTCATCAGTCTCGGCAGCTGCTAGGTGTATGGCAATGTCAGGCACAGTCGTTCAAAGCCATAACATGTCGAAGCAAAACGTAAACAGTAGTTTTTCTAGGCTACACTGAAGGGACAGAGCAGTGACTAAAGAATGTGGGAGAGAGAGGATTAGGGCAGAGGTTAGTGGGGTGCATGGTGGAGAGCAGCTGAGAGGAATAATATGAATTTTGATGTTAGAATATCCTATGAAGCCCAGATTATAGTCAAGTCTGGGGTTCTTTTCAGAGCAGAGTTATGTTAAAGGGTGTAATTTTCAAGATTTCCATTTAGGAGCAAGGTCTTCCTGTCTCTGGAGAGCTTCAGAACATGTTCTAGCATCAGAACTTATTCAACTGCTGCCAAAGAATCAGGTCACTTGCTCCAGGAGGCAGGGATCAGTCAGCATAACAAGAGACCAGAGAAGAGGCACATCAGAGAAACAGCACAAACCTACAGAATTCCAGAAGACTGTCTTCCTTGATACAAATGAAACAATATACCTATGAAGACTTGTTTACTCAGGGTGGGAGGGACTGTCATGATGGCAGGGCTACTTCGTGCAGTTCAGCAAACAGTCATAAAAGACATCAGTTGAGAGAGGAAGGAGAATATAAGAACTGTCCCTCTAACCACCTGGATTTAAAGCCCTAAGGATTAGGTGAGAGAAAACACCGGTTCGCCACTGCAACCCTAAACAAATCCTGAGGACAGGCAGGGTGAGTTCACTGACTGAGGTTTCAGGATAACTCAGTGAAGCACAGTATCTCCCTCTTCCTAATTATCCTACATTCTGACACACTTAGTGCCTCTTGAATTTAATATTTTAAAAGACACATCAAAGTAGGAACAATAAATGAATGGCTCACTTTGGCCTCATTTCCACCTGTGGCTAATATTAACAGTAACTTTAATTAGTGTCTGAGTCATCCATTTTCCAGAACAACAGGTAATTTTACATCTGCCATACCCCGGAGAGGCAGGATAAAAGTTTATTAAATAGAACAAAAGCATTTAACACAAATACCTTACTTACAGAGGGCTGAGTTCAAAGTGCAAGGCTTATAGAATGAATTAGCAGCTTCTGTTACCTTAATCACTGGGCGACAGTGAGCTAGTGATTATCAAGGTAGTGTAGCTGTGACCCAACTGAAGAGAGGTAGAATAAGTTTGTAAAGAATTTTTTATCAGTTCTTAGATTGTAATGAAATGGGGAATGTATTAGCTTGTGCTCATGCTGCTGTAAAGTCAGGAAACAACAGATGCTGGTGAGGCTGTGCAGAAGTAGAAATGCTTTTACACTGTTGGTGGGAGTGTAAATTAGTTCAACCATTGTGGAAGACAGTGTTGCGATTCCTCAAGGATCTACCAGAAATACCATCTGACCCAGCAATCCCATTACTGGGTATATACCCAAAGGAATATAAGTCATTCTACTATAAAGACACATGCACATGTATGTTTATTGCAGCACTATTTACAATAGCAGACTTGGAACCAACCCAAATGCCCATCAATGATAGACTGGATAAAGAAAATGTGGCATATATATACCATGGAATACTATGCAGCCATAAAAATGAAAGAGTTCATGTCCTTTGCAGGGACATGGATGAAGCTGGAAGCCATCATTCTCAGAAAACTAACACTGGAACAGAAAACCAAACACTGCATGTTCTTCCTCATAAGTGAGAGCTGAACAATGAGAACACATGGACACAGGGAGGGGAAACTCACACACTGGGGCTTGTCAGGGGGTGGGGAGCCAGGGGAGGGAGAGCCTTAGGACAAATACCTAATGCATATGGGGCTTAAAACCTAGATGATGGGTTGATAGGTGCAGCAAACCACCATGGCACATATATAACTATGTAACAAACCTGCACGTTCTGCACATATATCCTAGAACTTAAAGTAAAAAAAAAAAAGACTAGGTAATTTATAGAGGTTCTGCAGGGCTGGGGAAGCCTCAGGAAACTTACAATCATGGCAGAAGGGGAAGCAAAGATGTCCTTCTTCACATGGCGGCAGGAGGAAGGGCAGAGTGAAGGGGGGAAAGCCCCTTATAAAACTATCAGATCTCATGAGAACTCACTATCATGAGAACAGCATGAGGGAATTGCCCCTATGATCTAATCACCTCCCATGATTCCCTCCCCCAAAACGTGGGGATTACAATTTGGATTACAATTCAAGATGAGATTTGGGTGGGGACACAAAGCTAGACCATATCAGGGATGAAGATGGAAGGCTAAATAATTACTTGTTCTCACATGCAAATTTCTAGAGGGTTCATCCCTTCTCATCAAATGAAAGAGAATTTTAAAAAATTTGTATCGCTTAAAATAGTTATTTATGAATATGTGTGTGTATGCATTGCTTTTGCCACATCACCAGGCCTAAAGGAGTAAATTACACTTTTTCGGCTCTCTTTCACTGAAGATCTACCTGCTTCCTTTTTTTTTTGTTGTTGAGACAGAGTCTCACTCTGTCATACAAGCTAGAGTACAGTGGCACAATTTCAGCTCACTGCAACCTCTATCTCCCAGGTTCAAGTGATTCTCCTGCCTCAGCCTCCTAAGTAGCTGGGATTATAGGTGCGCACCTATAATCCCACACCTAGCTAATTTTTGTACTTTTAGTAGAGACGGGGTTTTATTATGTTGGCCAGGCTGGTCTTGAACCCCTAGCCTCAATCAATCTGCTCACCTTGGCCTCCCAAAGTGCTGGGATTACAGCTGTGAGCCACCTGTGCCCAGCCCTACCTGCTTCTAAAATTGAATGATAACCTGGAGTCCCAGGTGGAAGATAAATTCTAGATGACTTATTATAATGAAAGAAAAACCTATCATAATTAAAACATCTCTTCTTTAAATATTAACAGTAAGTCAATAGTGAAAGGAAACACTTCCCTTAAATGCCCTTTAGTGATGTCCCTTGGTCCTCATTTTATTCAACTGGTACTGGTTGAACAGCTTAGCATGGATGGAGAATCTCTACCCTTTATGCAGATATGGCCTTCCACAAGGACCAAGAGGTGGTATAAATTTTGCCTATAGTTTAAAAATGCATGATGTTAAAAATTTTTAGCTATACTCATCTAAAACAACCACATGAAAAAGATGTAATTCCATGAGAAGACCTCTGTAAAATGACAGGGGACACTATTCACTTTCTAAAGTAGGAAGTCAGGATTTTCTCCATTGAAAATGAAGGGAAAGGTGGTTTTACAGAATCTGCATGTTTACAAACTTTAGGAATTGAAAACCTAAGAAGTTAATTCTGGCAATATTTATCCTTGTTTTCTATCTATAAAATTACAAATTAAATCCTTGAGATTAAACAATTCTTTTTTGGGCAAAAATCTAAGTTGCACTTACACAAACAAATACAATGGATTGCATATACTGTGGATCATGTGGTTCATTTGCATAGTTAAATGGTTTCTATTTTGGGGGGGGGGATTTTCTGCAATCCCCTGAGATAAAGTTTTCCAAGAAGTCCCAGGGATGGTGTTTTTTAATTTGTTTGCAACCATTAAGTTTCTCACTTCCATGTGACAACTTTGGGGACAATATAGTCAATAGTTAAGAGGCAGACAGACGTGGGTTCAAACACAGGCTTCACCATTTACTAATTGTGAGACCTTAAGCAAGTCAATCTTTTCTCCAGTTTTCTCATATCTCATGAGAAATCAGAACATATTACAATTCCCACTGTAAAATGGCAATACTAATAGCTACTTTAGTAGGTATTATAGATTGCGGCAGGGATCAAATGAAGCAATGTAAATGTTTAGTGTAATTACTGGCACAGGCAAGGGTTCCCTTAGAGTTAAGCTCCAGGGTGCAGGAGCCTCATCTGCCTCATTTGCAAGTACCAGTCATAGAGGAGACAATACATTTTTTGGCCAAATGAATGAATAAAATGCTTTTATTATACTTAAAGATACACACACAAGAATGCATGTCAAATGTTAAGCACAGCATCAGGCAAACAATAAACTATGTAGCTTGGTAGCTCCTTCCCCAACTCTCCTTCTTGTGGTTAATGTTTTTAAAACCCTATTGATATAGTTTGAATGTGTGTCCTTTCCAAATCTCATGTTGAAATGTGATCCCCAATGTTGGAGGTAGGGCGTGGTGGAAGGTATTAGGGTCTTGGAGGTGGATCCTTCATGAATGACTTGGTGCTGTCCTCATGGTAATGAGTTAATTCTCACTTTATGAGTTAATAAGAGCTGGTTGTTAAAAGAACCTGGAACTTCCTCCTTTTTCTCTTGCTCCCTCTTGTGTGATATGCTGACTCCCCCTTTGCCCTCCATCACGACTGTAAACTTCCTGAGGCCTCACCAGAAGCTGAGCAGATGCTGGCACCATGCTTTTACAGTCCGCAGAACTGTGAGCCAAATTAACCTCTTATTATTTATAAATAACTGTCACAGGTATTCCTTTATAACAATGCAAAACAGACTAACACACCTTATAAAGTGACTTGAGGTGCTCAACTCTTTTGTAGGAAGGTCAGAGTGGCTTCAGAGAGCTGAATTTTGGCCCCAGACCCCAGGAATTGATCCTATGCCTAAAATACCACTGACATATATTTCAGAAGCAATGACAGAGTCTAAGAAAAATTATCATGCCATAAACATATAATATAAAGATACTATAATTTTTTTCTTCTTTGTTGGGTATCAGTGGGGCTCAGTATAGATAGACAAAAAGATTCTACCCAGGAATAAAAACTTAGGCTTTAATGAGCTATTCCTTTAATGACTCTGCTGTTGTCCTAGAGAGCAAATCCTTTCTGGGTAGGCTACTTGGGTAAGGCTGTTAACAGCAGAACTAATGTTCCAGAAAAGTAGTTAAAGAGCTATAAAATAAATATTTAAAATAGAAAAGTGTAATATTTCTCCCATAAAAGGAAAGAGGTACGAATCTTAAGTTGTTTATTCACTTCTGCAGTCTCTGAATTTTTTTTAAGTTAATAGTCTTTGATGGGGAAGAAAAGGTTTCTTTCAATTTTGAGCTATACAATATAAGCCATAGAACTCAAGGCAAATAGGCCAAGGACCAAATACAGGTAGGTTCTTATTTTAATGACTACTATTATGAACTCTGGTTCACTAGAGTAAGGCTATTTCTCTGGATGGGTTGGTAGCTCTAACTAGTGGAGTTTTGCCTATATGGATATAAACACTGCTACTGAATGAGAACTCCATTTTAATAGAATCTTTTATAAGTCCTATTTGTTGAGAAGTCTGTTTAACAATGTATCTTCCTTTTGGTGAAATTACTAAGCTGAATAGTTGAATATTCTTAAAAAAACATGATTGTTTTTCAAAACTTTGAACTGTCAACTTCACCCATACACATTATAAGCACTTCATATATGGTTTTCTTATGCGATATCTATTGATAATCAGATATTTAGTAAAGAAAACTTTCTGGCTGTTAGGGCTATAAAATGATAGGTAGGATGAGAATTAAGAAGTATTGGCACAATTCTAAATTTCTTCATTCGAACTTCACATATGTCATGGAAGTTCAGAGTGGACAAGTAGTTGGGTCATCCTGAAAGATTTGAGATTTCAGAATAGTGCCCTACTATTTATCAAAATCTCCCTTTAACCAACAGCAAGGTCATACTTGTTAGTGTCCTTTTCTCTCAGAATCCTTAACTATAAATGCTCCCAAAATTGTCAACACAGAGTTTTAGGTAATAGATTAAACATTATTAAGACTATCTCAGATTGCATTCAAATATATTATACTTAGAGAGCAAATGGGTTAAACATAGGCAGCGTAATATTTCCTGTCTCAGATGATAAAACTTGGGAATTAGCAAACCCTTCCTTTCGCAAAGCAGCCTCCCTTTCCCACCAACCTTCATGGGTATATGCGTGTGTGGCCCGGGGATGGGGTGGTGGTGGGGTCAGGTTTAGGCCTTCACATACATAAAAAATATAGTATACCTCTATCATCTCTATACTAGGACTATAGGCTTCCATTTGAAGGAGGAGGTATGCTTACCAGAGCAATGTTGATGATGTTCCTTTATGCTGGTTAAAACAGGGCTCTACTTGTGATACCAACTCTAGCAGCTCTCATGAAAATTATGGGAAGCTTTTGGGAATTAGTGGCCCTTGCCCTTAGAATTGAATGATCTAGGGAGATCTCACTGTGAAATCTGTCATTTATATAAAATGGAGCTTGAGATCTTTTGGTGTTAGGAAATGTTCATGTAAAGATTCCATATCTAGTCTATTACAAAAAAACTCTAAGCCAATTTTTAACTGAAGGGGGTATGTTCAAGCTTAAACTAAAACCATTAAGTTCCTGCCTGACTAGCTGGCAAAGTAAAAAAGGCTACAGCAGAGGAAAAAACCATTTTAGAAAGGAAAAGAGGAGGAAAGAAAGGGAGGAAGGGAAGAACAAAGGAAGAAAAGGAAGGAAAAGGAGAAAAGGAAAAGACAAGACAAGAAAAGGAAGGAAGGAAGAAAAGTAAAAGAAAGAAGAAAGAAAGAAGGAAAAGGAAAAAGGAGCAATTTATGAGCAAACTAGAAATTGGGTGGCAAATAAAAATGAGAGCATCTTATAAGTGAACCAGCAATAAGAGGTCCTTTACACATCACAAGTAAGGAGTGAGCCAGAGAACCAGTGGGGTCATGAAATAAAAAGGATGAAAAGGGGCTAGGCGTGGTGGCTCATGCCTGTAATCCCAGCACTTTGGGAGGCCGAGGTGGGTGGATCACGAGGTCAGGAGATCGAGACCATAGTGGCTAACACGGTGAAACCCCGTCTCTACTAAAAATACAAAAAAATTAGTCGGGTGTGGTGGCAGGCGCCTGTAGTCCCAGCTACTGGGGAGGCTGAGGCAGGAGAATGGCGTGAACCCGGAAGGCAGAGCTTGCAGTGAGCCTAGATCGCCGACAGAGTGAGACACCATCTCCAAAAAAATAAAAATAAATAAATAAAATAAAATAAAAGGATGAAAAGAAGATAGTAGATAAACTAAATGACTTTTTACAAAAAGATTAAGCCATTCCTCTGTGTAATATATCTTTTGAGGTAGGCAGAAGGGTCAGAGGTAACAATGGCAAATGTGTAAGAGACTGTTTCCAAGCCACATACCAGAAGTATTCAAAGGCATAATGCCTGGGACTGAGTGATCTAGTTACCAGGGCTGGCCCTCTGCAAAACTCTTGGCAAAGATCGCTGTGGTTTTTGGTACCCCTTTCCCTCTACTGCTCCACTAGGCAATTCCTGCTCCTCAGAATACTCAAGGAGCTCATGCTCTGACCCTTTCACAATTCATTCTCAAGAATGGCACTGTGAAGCTACACCTCATCTCTACTAAAAGTTTCTTTTTTTTAAATTAGCCAGATGTGGTATCGTGTGCCTGTTTGCCCCAGCTACTTGGGAAGCTGAAGCAAGGGGATCACTTGGATCCAGGAGGTCAAGGCTGCAGTGAGCTGTGATCATGCCATTGCACTCCAGCCTGGGCAACAGGGGAAGACCCTGTCCACAACCCCAAAAAAGAAAGGTTCTGTGAAACTATACTTCTATAGTACAGCAGGGGTGAGGATGAGAGGTTGTGCCAAAATTTCGTTTTAAGGACTATTTCTAATTGTAGAATAAAAGTATGTTTCCTGTTAAAGGAATTTCAGGTATTAATCCAACAGATAGGAGAGATGTTTGGGCCAGGAAGCCTCCTTGGTACCCTTGGAATCAGAGGTGCCTTCACATAATGCCCTGACCAGACTTGACTTCTGAAGGAAAGCAAAGAAAAAAAATTATTATACCTCTAATGAAAACCTGGAACCTGTTATTCTGGATGATCACTGTGTGGCTTGCATTGCCAATGTGGGTCCACAGGCAAAGGGGCCCTGGGAACTATAAACTGATGAGTGTCTGGTTCTTCAGTAGGCAAGCTGGAAGAATTTTTAATAAATGCTAGCCTCCTGTACACAAAAGCCATCAATCTATTGGGATGTGGGTGGCATCATGCTTTTTGTAAAGCGAAATCATGTGTAATCTTCTACAGATCTTTTCCTTGGGGCTAAACTTACTTTAAAAATGCTTCTGATTAGGTTTGATACCAAGGCTATTTTTAAACATGAATTACCATGGGATTTAAAATATTTTTTATCATGTAGTAGGAACTGGTCTACAGAAAAAAAAGAGAAAATATAGGGTAGAAACAGATATTTTTTCTGACTGAAGAAGGATAAATAGACTTCCTTGGGGGTGGGCACTGGAAAATCCTCAAGTCTACAGATAATACTCAGCTTTCCCAGGCAGTGAAATGCCAAGTTGATGGGAGATAAAGAAGATCTCAGGAGGTTTTATGATTGGCAGATAACCTTCAATAGGGGCACATGTAAAGTGATCCATTTAGGGCTTTGTAAGGGGTACATGTAAGGTGATCCATTTAGGGTGATCCATCTAGGGAGCACTAGATATTACAAACTATACTTGCTGGATGATGAGTGCTGACCTTTCAATTAAGACCCAGGAAAGGGCTCGAGGAGACACTGTGGACAGTGCACTGAAGAGAACAACCTAGTTTTCTGTTATGGTAAAAAAAAAAAAAAAAGGGTAACAAAATCAGGCACTGTTAAGAAAGGGATTAAAAGAAAAACAAAATAATTCTCCTTTTACATAGAACTGCAGGATATCTTTATTGGTAAAGTTACATAAGCAGCTCTGATCTGCACATCTCAAGGACAGAAGAGAGCTTAAGGGGAACAAAGAAGGGCAATTAAACCATTGATGGCAGGCTCCAAAAAAAAAAAAAAAAAGTTTTTTCAGCATGATAATACAGAGGTAGCCAGGAGACATGATCAAAATTATGAAGAGGCTTATGCTGCTGAATAACTGAATGATGACTTGGCTCACCAAATCTCTTGAGCTAAGAAGCACTTTTGAAGCATAAAGTTTTTATTTTTTAATAGTTCTGCTTTGTTTATACAACTGCCAGTGATGATGGCCAGTGCAGGCAGGCTTCTTTGGGAAGAACCTCCACCAGAGGTTGGGAGAAATACGAGCTAAGTTGGGGAGGGATCAAGAGTACCTCAATCCCCGTTACTTACCTTCAGTAATGTTGACTGGCTGACTTCTATTCGGATTTGCTTTCTCTGCCACCACTTGTGCCTGACCAATCTCAATTTTTATGAATATGAGTTTAACACAACCCCCCACCCCCATTCCATAAGGCTTTTCAACTCTAGTGGTCCACACATTGGCACCAATCTGTCTGTCTACGATTGTCTGTAACTTAATCCTTAGCCATGGTGTAGAAAGAACAGGTATCTGACTCCAATTTTAACACAGTGGATAGAAGGTAAGAATGCATGATGAATAATAATAGTCAATTCTCTAATATTTACACCAGTAGAAGAAAGCACAGGTCTCCATAATGAACCCTGACAACTGAAATGAACCCTGCCAGGTTAATGAAATAAGACACATGTAGGTTTATTTAGCTAAGAAAGTAGCAAATAAGGGATTCTTCAGGATAGCAAAAAAAGCTCTGCTCTTGGGATGGGCTTAATCATATTGAGTAAGATCCAACCTGGAGCATGGCTCTGGTCCAACTGCTTGGCTCTGCCATACAGCGGATAGCTACTGATCAAATAAGCATAATGACCAGTATACAAAAGCTTTATAGGTATATAGATGTTTTCTTTTTTACATTGTTCTTGTTTACATTGTGAGATGGGGGCCATTTCATCCTACAGAACTGCAATCCACTTATTACTGGCTAGTGTTACTGCCATACCTTTCACAGATCTGGTAATATTTTTCATCTTGTATGCCATCCTGAATGGGCACATTTACACTGTAGTACCGTCCCTTCCCTAGGCCAACATCAGACACGTCACCTGTTCCTATAAAAGAGAAGAGCACTATGATCAGTTATTAGGAACATGAGAACCCAGAAAACTTAAAGGATTTCCTGATAGGGAAATTTCTAGGGAAAGAAATTAAGAAAAATTATATAAAGAAGTAAGTATTGTAAACAATCTTGGAGAAGCAGGCAAATCATAAGGAAACTGAAAAACCTCAGTTTTCACCTTACTGGATCAAATGAAAAAATAAGAGATTAACTCCTTTGCTTGGCTTCATGCTTTTTAGGTTGACATAACATCAATTTATCACTGCAATTATTCAGGATGTTAGGAGTTGCATGGGGTGTCTACTAGTATAGTAAGCATAAGTGATCTGTTAACAGTCCATAAAAATCACCTGGAAAAAGAAACAGCTTTAATGTCATTCTTCTTGTTATTGTCACCTGAGGTGACCTGTGTTAAAATTTTGCACAGGACTGAGAAAAACAATCAATGGGGAAAGGATTCCCTATTTAATAAATGGTGCTGGGAAAACTGGCTAGCCATATGTAGAAAGCTGAAACTGGATCCCTTCCTTACACCTTATACAAAAATTAATTCAAGATGGATTAAAGACTTAAACGTTAGACCTAAAACCATAAAAACCCTAGAAGAAAACCTAGGCATCACCATTCAGGACATAGGCATGGGCAAGGACTTCATGTCTAAAACACCAAAAGCAATGGCAACAAAAGCCAAAATTGACAAATGGGATCTAATTAAACTAAAGAGCTTCTGTACAGCAAAAGAAACTACCATCAGAGTGAACAGGCAACCTATAGAATGGGAAAAAATTTTTGCAACCTACTCATCTGACAAAGGGCTAATATCCAGAATCTACAATGAACTCAAACAAATTTACAAGAAAAAAACAAACAACCCCATCAAAAAGTGGGCGAAGGACATGAACAGACTCTTCTCAAAAGAAGACATTTATGCAGCCAAAAAACACATGAAAAAACGCTCACCATCACTGGCCATCAGAGAAATGCAAATCAAAATCACAATGAGACACCATCTCACACCAGTTAGAATGGCGATCATTAAAAAGTCAGGAAACAACAGGTGCTGGAGAGGATGTGGACAAATAGGAACACTTTTACACTGTTGGTGGGACTGTAAACTAGATCAACCCTTGTGGAAGTCAGTGTGGCGATTCCTCAGGGATCTAGAACTAGAAATACCATTTGACCCAGCCATCCCATTACTGGGTATATACCCAAAGGACTATAAATCACGCTGCTATAAAGACACATGCATACGTATGTTTATTGCAGCACTATTCACAATAGCAAAGACTTGGAACCAACCCAAATGTCCAACAATGATAGACTGGATTAAGAAAATGTGGCACATATACACCATGGAATACTATGCAGCCATAAAAAAGGATGAGTTCATGTCCTTTGTAGGGACATGGATGAAATTGGAAATCATCATTCTCAGTAAACTATCGCGAGAACAGAAAACCAAACACCGCATATTCTCACTCATAGGTGGGAATTGAAAAATGAGAACACATGGACACAGGAAGGGGAACATCACACTCTGGGGACTGTTGCGGGGTGGGGGGAGGGGGGAGGGATAGCTTTAGGAGATATACCTAATGCTAAATGACGAGTTAATGGGTGCAGCACACCAGCATGGCACGTGTATACATATGTAACTAACCTGCACATTGTGCACATGTACCCTAAAACTTAAAGTATAATAAAAAAGAAATTTACAAAATTATCTCCTATCTGAATGAAAATGCAAAAAAAAAAATTTTGCATAGGATTGTGGCAGTAAGGCATTAACAGCATGGAACTGTCCAAGTATAAGAAATGTGTAGAAGAATTTCAGTATTTAGTCATCAAATGTAATACTGAGTTTATGATCACTTGCCTGGGAAAAATCCTGGGGAGAATTTGTGCAGGGACACGGTCATGACTTTGGAGGTGAAACTGAATGCGTCTTCTACACCTAACAGATAAAGAAACATCAAAAGAATCACTTCACATATGGCATTCCTATTTTCAACATCTGAAAATCTAGAAAGCAGCTGTGAGAAGGAGGGTAGATGAGAAGGCAGCAATATAAAACTAACAAGCTGAGGAATAAAAGTAATACGAACCTCTGGTCTCTAATCTCGTAATTACAAGATGAGGTAGAACTTTGGCCCCAAGTGAAGTTTGGGGGTTCCTTTTCAAACTCATGGAAAACTATAACTGGACTTCCCCTTTCCAAGCAATGGGATGTCTGGGCTCTCTTTGACAACCTGTTCTAAAAAGTAGGGAAAGGCGAGAGCCTAGAATTGAGGCATTATCAACAGAATTGAATAAGGGAAACTGGAACCATCTTACAAGTTGTATGTTTTGTCTTGTTTAAGTGGTTATAGTTAAAGTCTTGGGATTTTTTCCAAAGACGTACAACGTGATAACCCTTTGAAAAATATGACCAATAGAAACATTAGCCATTATATACCAAAAACCTAATTATAAAGTGCCTTTCTATAATGCAGATTTGGTTATAAATAAGTAACTTATAGTACATCTTTCTGGCTAAAACATGGAAGGCTGAAAACAGCCGTGACCTTGTCTCCTAATAGCAGCCTTATAAGAGTGTTTTAAAATCTGAAGAAAGATGGGCGAGAAAGGGGTCTGTTTTCCATTTTAACTTAGTGAGTAAACGATTAGAGGCCTGGGAGATAAAAGCTGGGATTTAAAGTAACCCTCACAAGCCTCTACGTATACAGGTAAACACACTGCCCACCTCCACCCCTTTCCTCTCAGAATCACATATAGTCACACTATGTTCAGATAATCAATCTGTAAAATGGGAGGACTATTAGCAAATTCAGGTACTGTCCTCTTTCTTACTTCAAACAAAGAAATTGTCTCTGTATTTATTTAATGTTTTCAGTCTTCACTACAGCCCCAACAGCGACTTTAAAAAAATATTAACTCTATTTATATATAACAGGTATGTTTGAATTTCCCAAGCCTTATGTTTGGCCCTAGGGAGGCAGTTAAATCCAGTTAAAGGCTCTAAGCAAAAAGCATGAAGTAAAAAAAATAAAACAAACAAAATAAATGAAAATAGTATTTCAACTTAGAAATGAAGTCTTAAACAAGGATAATTCATGAAAATCCTGATTATTGATCAATCCAGAAATGTTGTACCAATTTACACTTGGACCAATCATGTATGAGAGTTCCCAAACTATTGTTATTCTCTTTAATCTTAGGCAGAAAGAATGGTTTTGCTCTAATTTGCCTTTCTTTGAGTATTAGAGTGTTGAGCACCTTTTCATAAGTTTAGTGGCCATTTGTATTTCTTCTCATGGGAAATACCACTAGGCACAGTTATAAAATCATATTTAAAAAGGAGATGTACACAGATAGGAGGAAGCTATGGACTTGGTGGGAAAGAGGAGAGTAGTTAGGTAGATGAAAGAAGGCAAGGATGGGGTAGGGGTGGCTAGTGAAGCCACCACAGGATGCTAGTTATGTAATCATGGGAGATTTAAAATAAACCAAATGCATAAGTGTTGGGGGGTGGGGCAGGGGTCACTGTAAGGGAGGTGCTGAAGAGGGGAAATAAACTGAAATGAAACACACCATAAAAGTTGGCTAAAACAGGAAACTCTGAAGGGTGTAGAAATAACATTGCAAATGGAAAGAACACTTTCAGGTGACAGTTTCAGTTCATTCTTATGTGGTTCTGTAGAGTTGATTGTATTCTTAAACTCCGATACTAATAGTTTGAATTTCATAATCATTCATTGATCAAATATTTTAATGAGCCACTACTATATGCATAGTACTGTTGGTTCAAGGCATTATATAAAACAGGAAGAAGTAAACAACTTGATCTCTGCTCTGAAGGAACTTATAGTTTCTATGGGAAGAGAAGACACAGACACATTAAAAAATTAATTAGAAATACAAGGCAATATGTAATGAAATATCAAATTGGTGATATGAATAATACGGGACTTGAGAGGAGGGAGAGAACACTTGAGCTGGAGTGGTCAGGGCAAATCTGTTACTGTTGGAACTTGAACAAATGGGTAGACCTTGGGACAGGTGAAACAAAACTAAATTAGGAAAAAAGGAGGCAAAGTCAGGGAGGTGGGAATAATGAGACATGTCTGGGAATACTGAGCCATGTCATGAATAGTGAGACATGTCATGAATAGTTAGACATGCTCATTGAGTAGTGTAGCCTGGACAGCAAGTAATGAGAGATAAGGGTGGAAAGATGAGGTGAGACCTATTCAAGGTAGGCCTTGAAAGACTAGGTAAAGAGTGTGGACTACCTTGAAGACCACTGTTTTTCAAAGTGTGGCCTGTAGAACAGCTGAGGTATTAAAACGTAGTTTCTTTGGTTCCATGCCAGACCTACTAAATCTGAATATCTGGTGGATATGGCCCAGCAATCTGCATTTTAAAACAAACTTCTCCAGGTCATCCTGATGCACTTTCAAGTTTGAGAACCACTGCTGTAGGCCAGGGGTCAATGAACTAAGTGGCTAAATAGTAAACATTTTCGGCTTTGCAAACCACTCAAGGTCTCTATTGCACACGCACACACATATATACACACACACAGACACATTTTTAAAAAATATATTTTCTCTTTTATAACCCTTTAAAAATGGAAAAACCATTCTTATTTTATTTTTTTAAGAGACAATGGCTTGGTCTGTCGCCCAAGCTGGAGTGCAGTGGCACGATCATAATTCACTACAGCCTTGACCTCTTGGGTTCAAGCGATCCTCCTGCCTCAGCTTCCTAAGTAGCTAGGAATATAAGCACACAACACCAAACTCAGCTAATTTTTTTCGAGATGGGGGTTTCACTTTGTTGCCCAGGCTGGTCTCAAACTCATGGTTTCAAACAGTCCTCCCACTTCATCCTTCCAAAATATTGGGATCACAGGCATGAGCGACTGCACTTGGCTGGAAAAACCATTCTTAACCATTCTTAGCTTACTGGCCATACAAAAACAAGCCATAGGTCAAATGCTACCCCTTGTTATAGGCAATAAGGAGTCTCTGAAGGCTTTTGAGCAAGGCTATGTTTTGCACTGGTTGAGCATTCAGATATTCAGTGAAAATGGTTCTCAAAGTAGTATATTGGTGGTTTTAACCTCTCTTCTCTCTGTTACCTTTAATTTTCTGTCATCGTTCCATGGTAGCATCCATGCAGATGAAGCTCTCTGGAAAGGTTCCCTCAACAATTTCATCCTTCTTTCTCTGTTTTGGCAGTGGAGCTGACCCTAGCTTCAGACATATAATATTCTTTTCCTCTCTATGCCTTGATTATGTTAGTTTGTCTGAAAAAAAAAAAATCCCTGGAAACAGGGAAATGGCAATCATTGATGTGAGGGAGGAGTATTTTTAACTAAGAATTTACAGGATAAGTGTTCTTAAATAAATGGAAATACTACGTGTCCCAGAGAGGATTGCTTAAAGAAACAGAATGTGGCAACTGTCACTGGAGCTCTACATTCTAGATGGAAAATACATAGGAGGGTCGGATAAATCCTGTCAGTGGAGTCTTCTAAGAGAGGATTAATGGGTTAAGGCAAACTGCTAAGTGATTCTGCTATTAAATGTTAGGGAAGATGTCCTGTTTGTACGGCACTAAATATTTTAGCAATACAAAGAAAATGGCACAGATTCTGATCACTACACGAGTTGGCAACCTATTGGTGAAAAATTCAGAATGTTAGCCCATCATACGCCCATTCTATCTTGAGAAAAGCATCAATGAAAAGAGACAAGACTGTCATCCCTATAGATTCCCTTAGAATGAATGGAAATGACCTGAGGGAGGTTACTGAGCACTGGAGTAAACACTAGGTAAGATTTTCACTTCTTAACATTCTCTATTAGTTCTAGAGGCTTGCTACAGGAGGAGAGAGAAGAGGAAATTACAGGAGCCTGGCTTGGGCAGCAAAGCAGGAATTGCATCAATTAGAGGAATCACTACACTACCTACTTTAAATTCTCAATTAGGAAAATTTCAATTACAGCAGACATTTCTACCAGTTGCCTAGAAGCAGCTTAACTGATAAAAACCTGCTGTCCTCGCAGCAAAGCATCTTTAAAACCAAAGGGCTTACCATCTCCATGGTGCAGATCCAAATCCACGTAGAGAATACGCTCAAATTTCCGTCGCAATCGTAATATTCCCAGGACAGCATCATTGAGATAACAAAAACCAGATGCTTCATCTCTGTAAGAAAACAAGTTGCTACAGCCAACAGCCAAAAAGCAATCCAAGGGAGTCTTTACAGCCAAGGATCTAACCCTTGAGATCTAGTCCCCTAAAGTTCCCCCTTCTTTTAAGAAAAACAGAAATCCATCTACAAAGATTATAAGTAAATGACCCAGAATGATCAGGGAATGAAGTGTTTCAGTAAAGTAAATATTTGGGTAAATTGGTAATATTTTCCATTCATGATCCCAGATTTTCAAAGCATTAGAATATTATAACTATATTGAACAAGAGAGAACCACCTTTCCCTGGATTTAGGAATCACTTCAAAAAATTTGTATACCCTGGGGTCATCATGAGGAACACTGGTAATCACTTACAGGACTTTAAGAAAGCTAGAATCTAGAAGAGGCCTTAAAGACAATCTTGCTCAGCCAGATGTAGAAGATGTTAGAGATTGGATTCTCTGTACTGACCCTATGACACAAACTAGAATTTTTAAAAAGTTAGTTTTGCACTTGTTGCTCATAAAAGCTGAGTGTAGAATATACAAATGCATAATCTCCTGGGCAGTATAATGTGGTCGCCTGTCTGTAAATGCAATTATTACAACGAAGAGTGAAGCAGTCTTTTATAAAGTTATTTTGTTTTCTTCACTAAAATTCTCTTCATTGACTTCACTGGTGTCCTTTAACTTTTGTGCTATCAGTGATAATGCGTCACTTTAACCCCTTGTCAAGGTTAACCCGCTCTTTTACTACACTTCCATTAAGCCTTGCTGATTAGATGTCAAATAACATTCTTTATCATCAAGAGTGTATTTAAGTTATTTTTAAGGCCTCATCCTAAATGCTTAATTTATTTCACTTCCACAGAGACTTCAAATATCCAGCCCATTTTTTTCTGAGTTCTCCTTGAGATTGCCTAGGCATAAGCAACAGTTAAAATGGCATCTTTGCTACTATGAGACTGTAAAGCTCTTTGTAGTGCCTTCACAATGCATAAACTTCTTCATGAAATCTCTTCCATAATAACATTTCATATTCTAAATAATGCCCTGGTTCACAGGCTGAATCAATAAGACATGTACACTGGCAAGCAGAAGGTTGGTAAAAATATCTTTAGACACTGACTTTGCTTCATGATGGTGAACTCGGCAATCATCTAGCCAAAGAATAGCTTGGCCTTAGATATGCAACCAGGTAGAGACCAATTAAAGAAAAAGATTTCTCCATCTATGAATTCTCTTTAAATAAGAATTAAATGTGTGATTTTGGAAGTTCTTAGATGCAAATGCTATTTTCCAATTATGAAAAGCTTACATTTTGTAAGTTTACTGCCTTAGCACATTAAAAAAAGAGATAATTTGCTGACCTTCTGAACATCAATAACTTTTAGGTAGATGGGACGGAACACTAAGTGCTAGGCAAAAAGAGGAGAGAGATGTGGAGGAAGAGTACAAATCAATACAAGACATACTTCCTTTCCTCACAGAACTTACAATTAAATTGGGGAGATAAGGCATAAACACAGAAAAAAAAAAAAAAACCAATCATCCAAACAAAAAAGGCAACCAGAAATAATATGGCAGATAAAGGAGAATACAGAGAAAAGCTATAGACAAAATTGACAAAGTAGACTCTTCTCATTGACAACATTGAGATTTACCTGAGCCCTGTGCTTTTGCAAAAGCAGTGATGGTTAAGAAACCCTCCACCCTTTTGCGTTACGAGAAATGGCGAACTGCAAAGGACCACATTGCCCTGGCATATTCTAAGGAAAGACTCATCTCTCTCCTTCCTCAGCATGCCCATAAGACTGGTAGATGACTCCTTTATTTACCTGCCTCCATTAAGCAGGTGGCCCCCTTCCTTTTCTTTAAGATGTTCCTTACACTAATGAACATTCTCCTCATGGCAATAGCCTGAATAATAATAATGATGACGAAGATGATGTCTATCATTCAGAAAGGCCTTTATGTCTCATTGTATGAATTTGTAACATTTTTCTACCTCTGGATAGTATTACTAAATTAGATGATAAAATCTCTTAAAGGAGCTCTGTTCTCATTGGCTTATAGAAATAATAAGTGTTTAGATAAATAGAATATTCCTAAAATCCCCAGAAAATAAGGCAATTGAACGTTCAAGATTTTCAATATGCTAAAAAAAGTATTCCTATAAAAACAAACTCAAATACTTTAAGAATTCAAGTTCATATAATTTAGGTAAATCTTGGGCAAATGAGACTAACTTAGTAATTTTTGGCTTACTAAAACCAGCCATGTCTTTTCTGATTTATCAGTGTTGGGCATAATATACAGGTAGATTTTTTTTCTACTTGAGTATATTCTTCCTCAACATAGACAGGTTTACTGATTGAATGAGCTAACATTACTTCTCCTAAGTGTTTACGATTATAAAAAATGTAAATTTGTTTAACCAAGTTGAGTCGTTATTCTGACAAACTTTATTTCAACAGTAATTATGTTTTGCAGTATATCAACTTGAAGATAATTTATAAAATCTTTAGGTAACTAAAAACTTTGAGCTGATACTAAATTGAATTAATGAATATTCATTACATACCTAGACCATTTCTAAGTAAGAGAATGCTGAAATATTAATTACTACATATAATTTTGTATGCTTTTGCTTCTTATTTCTACATGCTGCAGAAAAGTTATGTATACTTGGGCCTGGTAATGAACATGCTATTTTTTGCCAATTAAAGAAGTTGTTATAAAGGATGCATATAGATATAGAAAGTTGTAGAGGGATCACAGAAAGGGAATTTTATTTGTTGAGGTGGCTGGCTAAGGTTTGATGAGTTGATTTACAATATTTCCAAAAAGAACTTTAGTATCAAATATTCTGATGCAAAGCTAGAATTTGGTTTCCTCACTGTTAAAATGGCAAAAAAAAAAAAAAAAAAGATTTGTTCTTTCACCTTATTGAAAGAGAAGTGCTAGAAAGAATTAGATTTATTCAATATATTACTATTGAGGAGTTGCATGGGAAGAGTTGTCAAATCAGAACAGATGCTTTGCTTTTTCTAGGTTAAATTGGTATAGGAAAATGTTATTAGCATAAACATTTTAGAAATTGTATGCTGTATGGAACGTTTCTACAGATTCATTAGTGCTCTCACTGGCCGAGATATGTCAGAATCCTGATGCTGCTTTGCTAGATATTAGATAACTATAGTATAGTGTTTTCAGTAATAATTTCAGCTTTTTAAAATGTTAACTTGGTCTCCACATTGCTTCTTTGTTTTGAATCTAGCATTTTTCCAGTCATTAGTTTTCAACTGGGGATTCACATCATTTACCTATGAAATTCTGTTAATATACACATGTTTAAGAACTATTCCAGATTACTGAATCTCTTTACTTGATGTTCTTGATATATTCTGGGTATATTCAACCTATATGCTTGGTATATTGATGATATATTATGTCAGGATTATTATATGTTATATCTGAGTCTTTTTTCTCTATAAAGATGATGTTCATGCATTTTTATAAATTACATATAATACCCTCTCTTCTTTGAAAATAGGATTTCTACAGTTTGGATATTTGGCCTTCCAAGCCTCATGTTGAAATTTGATCCCCAGTGTTGGAGGTGGGGCCTAGTGGGAAGTGTTGGGTCATGGGGGTGTATCCCTTACAAATGGCTTGGTTGTGATCTCACAGTAATGAGTGAGTTCTCACTCTATTAGTTACTGCTAGAGTTCCCCTGGGAGCTGGTTGTTAAAAAGAGCCTGACACCTTCTCCCTCTCTCTTGCTTCCTCTCTCACCATGTGATTTGCACATGTGGCTTCCCTTTACCTTCTGTCATAAGTGGAGGCAGCCTGAAGCCCTCACCAGAAGCAGATACTGGCACCATGCTTCTTGTACAGACTGAAGAGCTGTAAGCCAAATACCTCTTTTCTTTATAAATTACCCAGACTCAGGTATTCCTTTAAAAGAACACAGATGTACTAAGACAAGGGCTAATCATTATGTATATAGACATTTTTGTCTGGATCTGATAGACCTCTACAGAACTCTCCACCCAAAAACAACAAAATATACACTCTTCTCATTGCCACATAGCACTTACTCTAAAATCAACCACATAATTGGACATAAAGCAATCCCTAGCAAGCGCAAAATAACTGAAATCATACCACCAAATACACTCTTGGGACACAGCACAGTAAAAATAGAAGTCAAGACTGAGAAAATCACTCAAAGCCATGCAACAAAATAATTACATGGAAACTAAACAACATGCTCCTGAATAACTTTTGAGTAAATAATAAAATTAAGGCAAAAATCAAGAAGTTATTTGAAACTAATAAGAAAATAGATACAATACACCAGAATCTCTGGGAAGCAGCTAAGGCAGTGTTAAGAGGGAAACTCCTAGCACTAAATGCCCACATCAAAAAGGTAGAAAGATCTCAAATTAATAACTTAACATTGCAACTGAATTAGAGAAGCAAGAACAAATCAACCCCAAAGCTAGCATAAGACAAGCAAAATCAGAGCTGAACTGAAGGAAATTGAGACATGAAAAACCTTTCAAAAGATTGATGAATGCAAAAGTTAGATTTTTGAAAAAATTAATAAGATAGGCCGCTAGCTAGACTAATAAAGAAGAAAAGAAAGAAGATCCAAATAAACACAATTAGAAATGATGAAGGGAATGTTACCACTGGCCCCACAGAAGCAAAAATAACCAGCAGAATCTATGATGAACACTCTATGCACACAAACTAGAAAACCCAGAAGAGATGGATAAATTCCTGGACATATACACCCTCCTAAGACTGAACCAGGGAGAAACTGATACCCTAAACAGACCAATAATGAGCTCCAGAATTGAATCAGTAATAAATAGCTTTACCAACTAAAAAAAGCCTGGCACTTGATAGATTCACAGCCAAATTCTACCAGATGTATAAAGAAAGCTGGTAGTATTCCTACTGAAACTATTCCAAAAAATTTAGGAGGAGGGACTCTTCCTCGACTCATTCTATGAGAGCAGCATCATCCTGATACAAAAACCTGGCAGAGATACAACAAAAAAGAAAACATCAAGCCAATATCCTTGATGAATACTAATGCAAAAATCCTCAACAAAATAATTGCAAACCGAATCCAGCAACACAACAAAATGCTAATCCACCATGATCAAGTAGGCTTCATCTCTACGATGCAAGGTTGGCTCAATATATGCGAATCAATAAATGTGATTCATCACATAAACAGAACTAAAGACAAAAACTACATGATCATCTCAATAGACGCAGAAAAGGCTTTCAATAAAATTCAACACCCCTTCATGTTAAAAACTCTCAATAGGTATTGAAGGAACATATCTCAAAATAATAACAGCCATCTATAACAAACCCATAGCCAACATCATACTGAATGGGCAAAAGCTGGAAGCATTCCCCTTGAAAACTGGCACAAGACAAAGATGCTCTCTCTCACAACTCCTATTCAACATAGTATTGGAAGTCCCGGTCAGAGCAATCAGGTAAGAGAAAGAAATAATGGGCATCCAAATAGGAAGAGAGGAAGTCAAACTATGTCTGCAGATGACATGGTTCTATATCTAGAAAACCTCATAATCTCAGCCCAAAATCTCCTTCAGCTGATAAACAGCTTCAGCAAAGTTTCAGGATACAAAATCAATGTACAAAAATCACTAGCATTCCTACATACCAACAATAGTCAACCCGAGAACCAAATCATGAAAGAACTTCCATTCACAATTGACACAAAAAGAATAAAATACCTAGGAATACAGCTTACCAGGGAGGTGAAAGATCTCTATAAAGAGAATTACAAAACACTGCTCAAATAAATCAGAGAAGACACAAACAAATGGAAAAACATCCCATGCTCATGGATAGGAGGAATCAATATAATTAAAATGGCCATACTGCTCAAGGCAACTTACAGATTCAATGCTATACCTATCAAAATACATGTGACATTCTTCACAGAACTAGAAAAAACTATTTTAAAATTCATATGGAACCAAAAAAGAGCCCAAATGGCCAAGACAATCCTAAGCAAAAAGAACAAAGCTTGAAGCATCATGTTACCCAACTTTGAACTACACTACAGGCTGACAGTAACCAAAACAGCATGGTACTGGTACAAAAACAGATACATAGACCAATGGAACAGAATAGAGAGCCCAGAAATAAGGCTGCACACCTATCACCATCTGATCTTCAACAAAGCTGACAAGAGCAAGCAATGGGGGAAAGACTCCCTATTTAGTAAATGGTACTGGGATAACTAGCTAGCCATATTCAGAAGATTGAAGCTGGACCCCTTTCTTATAGGATATACAAAAATCAACTCAAGATGGATCAAAGACTTAAATGTAAAACCCAAAACTATAAAAACCCTGGAAGACAACCTAGGTAATACCATTCTGAACATAGGAACGGGCAAAGATTTCATGACAAAGACAACAAATGCAATTTCAACAAAAGCAAAAGTTGACAAATGGGATCTAATTAAACTTCAGAGCTTCTGCACAGCAAAATAAACTATCAACAGAGTAAACAGACAACCTACAGAATAGGAGAAAATATTTGCAAACTATGCATCTGACAAAGGTCTAATATCCAGCATCTTTAAGGAACTTAACAAGTTTACAAGAGAAAAACAAAAACCCAATTAAAAAGTAGGCAAGGGATATGAACAGATACTTTTCAAAAGACGACATACATGCGGCCAACAAGCATAGGAAAAAAAGCTCAATATCAATGATCATTAGAGTAATGCAAATCAAAGCCACAATGAGATACCATGTCACACCAGTCAGAGTGGCTACTATTAAAAATTCAAAAAAATAATACATGCTGGCGAGGTTGCAGAGAAAAGAAAACACTTATACCCTGTTGATGGGAGAGTAAACCAGTTCAACCATTGAGGAAAGCAGTATGGTGATTTCTCAAAGAGTTAAAAGTAGAACTACCATTTGACTCAGCAATCCCACTACTGTGTATATACCAAGAGGAATATAAATCATTCTACTATAAAGACACATGCACGTGAATGTTCACTGCGGCACTATTCACAACAACAAAGACTTGGAATGCTCATCAATGCTGCATGTTCTCACTCAAAAGTGGGAACTAAATGATGAGAACTCATGAACACAAAAAAGGAAACAACAGACACTGGGATCTATTGAGGGTGGAGGGTGAGAGGAAGGAGAGGAGCAGAAAAGATAACTGTTGGGTACTGGGCTTAATACCCGGGTGATGAAATAATCTGTATGACAAACCCCTGTGACACAAGTTTACCAAGTAACAGACCTTTACAAGTATCCCCGAACCTAAACTAAAAATTTTTAAGAAAATAGATATTTTGGCCGGGCGTGGTGGCTCATGCCTGTAATCCGAGCATTTTGGGAGGCTGAGGCGGGCGGATCACAAGGTTAGGAAATTGAGACCATCCTGGCTAACACAGTGAAACCCCGTCTCTACTAAAAATACGAAAAAAAAATTAGCCAGGCGTGGTGGCATGCACCTGTAGTCCCAGCTACTCAGGAGGCTGAGGCAGGAGAATCGCTTGAACCCAGGAGGGGGAGGTTGCAGTGAGCTGAGATCACGCCACTGCACTCCAGCCTGGGTGACAGAGTGAGACTCTGTCTCAAAAAAAATAAATAAATAAAAGATATTTTGTCAAAAAAAATTTTTGGATTGACTTTTATCTCATTTTCCATACCACAGAAACTACACCTCTTTGTCAGTTGCTTTATTATTCTTGTAATGAACTCTTATTGTATTTTTCCCTTTTGAAAATGATCAGCAATAAGTTAACCATAGCTGTTGTAAGTCTTTTATCAGCTACAGGTAGACAGCTTTTTATGTTTTACACCAATGCTTCCCTGAAAGCACTTGCATCAGCTACAAGCTAGAGGGCTTCATCTTCAACAAAGCACTTTTTCAGAGTCCCGTGGAAAAGAACTATGCCAGGTACTTTTGTGTACAGGCTTATGATGAGATGGTTTAAACAACTTTGAGACCACACTAGTGAACTGAGGCAGGATTTTGAGAACTCTAGTTGAGAAGCAAGTGTGTTAATAAGATAGTGCTAACCCAAGGTGGAGTGGAAAAAGAACTAATTACATAGACCTGAATGATAGAAGGGATGATTTGGGTTTTGTTTGGAATATTGCTAAAGCTTTAATATTCTGTTTTCTGGATATATAAGAAACTCACTTCCTATTTCTCTTTTCTCTTACACTATCTATAATTCATAACTATCTAGTAGACCATGCTTTTGTAAACTGAAATGAAATGTTTGTAAATGATATCTTATACCCCTGAGTTCTCCAGGATTTGGAAACTCTCATTGAGTATTCTTATTTTCATAGCAATATAAATATCTGCATTGGTTCAATAAAAATCTGTCTGCCCTTCTTACCAGATCATGATTAGAAACATTGGTATGTAACCAAGGCCTTACCTGGAATGCCATATTTGTGAATGATGCTCACTGAATCAGATATGATCAGACACTTTTAAGGAACTAAGGCTGACTTTATGGAGCCAATGCATACAAAGCCCTCTTGGGAAAACTAGCCTGGTACCTGACTTACAGGGTTCTCAGCCTTACAACTGAGTAAGGAAGGTTACTTCCTGGCAAGTCTTAGAAGCTTAGGATATTTTGTCGACCTCAAAAAGAGAACAGTTCTCCCACATTTATAGATGCAGCAAGTAAAATCTTCTTAGCTTGATAGGCTTTTAAAATTTCAAATTCAGATTCCTTATGAAAACTTTGAGCAAAGCAAGCTTAAGGTCTATTTGGTAAATTACCATTCTTACTGTGCCTATGTAAATAATCAAGCTAAATCTAATGAGACTTAATTTTTACTTTTTAATATTCTTATTGAGGCAAAACTTACATAACATAAAATTAATTATTTTAAAGTGTACAATTTAGTGGCATTTAGTACCTTTACAATACTGTGTAACCTTCACCTCAACCTAGTTCTAAAACATTTCCATTACCTCAAAAGAAAACCCATGCTTATTAAACATTCACTTCTTACACTCTCATCCGCCTTCCAGCCTCTGACAACCAGTAATCTGTGTTGGGTCTCTATGGATTTACCTATTTTGGATATTTTATATGTGTAATCACACAATATGTGATCTTTTATGTCTGGCTTCTTTCACTTAATATAATGTGTTTGAGGTTCATCCATGTTGTAGCATGTGCCAGTACTCTGTTCTTTTTTTAGAGCTGAATAATATTCCATCACACACACACACACACCCACACACCCCACATTGTGTTTATCCATTCATCTGTTGACGAATGGGTAACATTTGTGTTGTTTTCATTGTATGGCTATTGTGAATAGTGCTGCTATAAACATTTGTGCATAAGTATTCGTTTGAGTACTTGTTTGCAATTCTTTTGAATATTTATACTTAGAAGTGGAATTTTTAGGTCATATAGTAATTCTATGTTTAACTTTTGAGGAACGACCAAACTGTTTTTCACGGTAGTTGCACCATTTTACTTTCTCGCCAGCAGTGTATAAGGGCTTCAATTTCTCCACGTCCTCACCAGCACTTGTTATTTTCCAGTTATTTTTGTTTTTAAATTCTAGCCATCCTAGTATGTGTGAAGTGGTATCTACTTGTGGATCTGGTTTGCATTTTCCTGATGACTAATGATGTCAAGCATTGTTTTATGAGCTTGTTGTCCATTTGTAGACCTTCTTTGGAGATATGTCTATTCAAGTCCTTTGCCCATTTTTAAATTTTTAATCTTTTAAAATTTTTAAAAATTTAAAAATTTTTTAATTTTTTTTTTGCTGTTGAGTTATAAGAGTTCTTTTTATATTATGGATGTCACACACTTATTGGATATATGATTTGCACATATTTTCTCCGATTCTGCAGGTTGTTGTTTCACTTTGTTGATAAATATCCTTTGAAGCCCCAAAGCTTTACATTTTGATGAACTCCAGTTTAACTATTTTTCTTTTGTTTTTTGAGACCAGCCTTATTTTGCGTTCAAGAATAATCTTTCTTGAGATTATCTTTAGTCAAAAGGAAGTGACTATAGAGAGAAATTTTGTGTTTCAGCAGAAAACTCTGCCTCATCTATGGCACACCACTCTAGGTTATCAGAGTCTAGTCCTATTCACTGTCTTTGAGCTATTTGGTACCTACTTATAAGCTACAGGTTACTGATGGATAGGCAAACTTTATCTTGTCTGGTGGAGATATAATTGACTTCCTTAGGGCTAGGCGCAGTGGCTCATGCTGTAATTCCAGCACTTTGGGAGGCTGGGGTGGGAGGATTGCTTGAGGCTGGGAATTCAAGTCCTCATCTTCACAAAAAGTTTTAAAAATTAGCTGGGCATGCACCTTTAGTCCTAGCTACTCAGGAGGCTGAGGCAGGAGGATTGCTTCAGCCTGGGAGTCTGAGGCTGCAGTGGGCTATGATTGTGCCACTGCACTCTAGCCTGGGTGAAGAGACTCTGTTTAAAAAAAAAAAAATTAGATAATTGACTTCCTTTTCTTCTGTGGAAAAACCAGTTTTGGCACCTACTTGTAAATCAAACTGGATCTTGTTAACTTGTCCAAATTGTCAATCTTTACCAAATTTTCAGTTCTTCTAGGTTACTTCAATATCTTGCTAATATCCTCCAAACTAACTTTTCCAAGTTTTCTCCCTCCCACCTGACTCAGAGTCACTGAGAACTAAAACCCGACTGCCCAAATCCCTATTGGGACTCTAAGTTGTCTTGGAGCTTGCCCTCTTTTCCAGGATCTGAGGCAGCCCTGCAAGCTAAACTCCAGTGGCTCAATATAAACCTAGACGAACACAGAACTGCAGCCGACCATGCATGACTAGAATTCTCCTTGAACAAGCTGCTGCCTAGACTATGATAGAAGTTGTAAGAAATGCTCAAGTCATGCATACCTTTTACATGAAAGATGACTGTCTTAGTCCATTTAGTGTTGCTATAACAGAATACCTGAGGCTGGATAACTTATAAAGAAAAGAGGTTTGTTTGGCTTATAATTCTGGTGGCTGGAAAGTTCAAAATTGGGCAGCTGCATCTGGTAAGGGCCTCCCTCATACTGCTTCCATTCATGGCAGAAAGCAGAAGGAGAGCAGGTGTGTGCAAAGAGATCACATGGTGAGAGAGAAAGCAAGAGAGAGAAACTGAGGATACTAGACTTCTTTAAAACAACTCAGTCATGTGGGAACAAATCCATTCCCATGAGAGAATAAAAACTCACTCACTTCTGCAGGAGGGCATTAATTTATTCATGAGATATCTGCCTCCATGACCCAAATACCTCCCATTAGGCTCCACCTCTTAACATTGGGGATTAAATTCAACATGAGTTTTGGCAGGGGGAAACCACATATAAACCATAGCGGTAACCAAGACTGTGGACAAACAACATTGCCAAGAGTACCCATACCCTAGCTCCATGAGTGGTGCTGCAAAATGGAAAAGTTCTCTTCCACTGATGCGTTGGAATCCACTGGACTGGTTACTTTCAGGGTTCAATTCTTGGCTCTTTACTATAATATAATCTTTTATATTAACTTTTTTTTTGAGATAGGGTCTCACTCTGTCACCCAGGGTGGAATGCAGCAGCATGATCTCAGTTGACCGCAACCTCCACCAGGCTCAAGTGATCCTCCCACCTCAGCCTCCCAAGTAGCTGGGACTACAGGTGCATGCCACCACACCCAGATAATTTTTTGTATTTTTTGTAGAGACGGGGTTTTGCCATGTTGCCCAGGCTGGCCTCGAACTCCCGAGCTCAAGCAATCCACCCACCTCGGCCTCCCAAAGTGCTGAGATTATAGGCATGAGCCACCACACCTGGCCAACATTTCTTTTTTCATTATTGCCATCCCTCTTTTAATATGCCTAATTTCCAGGACCCTAAAACAACTGACCTTTGCCATTGTCTCTCAACAGATGGTTCAAGTGGCTTTACAGAAACAATACCAACAAGAGTCCTTGAGAGACTATTTCTTAGACTTCAGCTTCACCTCACTTAGGAGCTTTATGTTCTCCTCTGAGTGGCTCAATTATAAATGATATTTGTTTTAAACAAAAGAGAGAAATGACAGTATTTAAGTTTATCTGAGCCCTGTGTACCCTAGAAAGCAGTAATGGTTAAAAAATCCCCCCCAACCTTTTGTTTTCCAGGAAAAGGTTAACCACAAGTGACCATCCTACACTGACACATTATTCCAAGGGAAGACCCATCTCCATCCTTCCTCACAACTCCCAAAAGACTTACAGATGACTCCCTTGTTTACCTGTCTCTATAAAATGCCAGGCTTCCTTCATTTTCTTTGAGCTGGTCCTCATTAATAAATATTCCCCCTATTGCAATACCTGAATAAAATCATTTCCTTAATTGTCTGGTACATTTTGTCTTTCACATCATCAACACAAACATGTTCATGGAAGAGACCAGGTTCTGCAAACGTATTTCTGAAAGCACATTTCTGAAATGTGTCTGCAGCGTTGTGGTTTGGCAGTTGTTTTGTTTTTGTTTTTCCAGATATATCTTGCTTCTTAAATACCCTGGTGAATTATAAACCACAAAATCAATCTTTAAGAAAAAGTGCAGGGCTCAGTCAACTGTATTTACTTGTGTGCATTTGCCATTTTAGGTCCATTAAAGGTCAGGGGCTTTGATCACGACATCAAGAAATTTATGTAAAACAGCAAGCAGGTGGCTACCTTACCCAGGCACAACCAGATACCTGCTCTGTTCAACAGTTTGTTACTGGCAAAGATTTTGCAACAATCTTTTATGCCAGTACTGGTATCAGAAGTTAGCATTATAGATTTCCAATAATGTTTTCTTATTTGGACCTAAGACTTGCTCAGACATCTATTTTCTCTTTACATATTAGCATACCTCTTACAATTTTTTACTTTCATTGGTAGTAAGGTTTGGCTTTCCTCTGTTGTTGGCATATAATAAAAATAATAGCTGACATCTATTAAGTGATTACCCTGTGCCAGGAACTGTACTAGGTGCTTTCAATATTGTTAACTCAATAAATTTTCACAAAAACCCTGTGAAGTAGGTACTACTATTATGCCCATTGAACAAATGAGAAAACTAAAGCACAGGGAAATTAAGTAACTTGTCCAAGGAAACATAGGTAGAAAGTGTCTGAACTTGAATTTGAATTTTTAAAACCACTTTATTAAGGTATGCTATGGCTTAAATGTTTGTCCCCTCCAAAACTCGTGTTGAAACTTAAACACCAATATAACAGTATGAAGAGGTGAAGCCTTTTTGGAGCTGATTGAGTCATGAGGGATCTACCCTCAAGAATAATCTCTTTATGGATTAATGGGTTATTGAGGCAGTGGGTTAGTTACCACAAGAGTAGGTCTGTTATAAAGGCCAATGTGGCCATCTCTTCTAAGCCCCTTGCCATGTGATGCCCTGCACTCCTTGGGACTCTGCAGAGTCCTCACGAGAAAAAAGGCCTTCACCAAATGTGGCTCCTCAACTTTGAACTTCTCAGCCTCCAAAATGTGAGAAATAAATTTATTTTCTTCATAAATTACTCAGTCTCAGGTATTCAGTTAAAGCAATAGAAAACAAAGAAACGTATGATTGACATACCAAAAGCTGTACATACTTAATGTTTACAACCTGATGAATTTGGAGTTAAGTATACACCCATGAAACCATCACCACAATCTATGCCACAAAACTATCCCTTACCTCCAAAAGTTTTTCCTGCCCTGTTTATTTATTTATTTATTGTAATAAGAACAGTTAACATAAGATCTACCCTCTTATCAATTTTTTTTTTTTTTGAGACAGAATCTTGCCTGTTGCCCAGGCTAGAGTGCAGTGGTACAATCTCAGCTCACCGCAACCTCCACCTCTCCACCTCCCAGGTTCAAATGATTCTCCTGCCTCAGCCTCCTGAGTAGCTGGGGTTATAGGTGAGCACCATCACATCTGGCTAATTTTTGTATTTTTAGTAGAGATGGGGTTTCACCATGTTGGCCAAATTGGTCTTGAACTCCTGATCTCAAGTGATCCGCCAGCCTCGGCCTCCCAAAGTGCTGGGATTACAGGCGTTAGTCACCCCGCCCGGCCTCTCTTAGCAAATTTTTAAGTATACAATGCAGTATTGTTAACTATAGGTGCTATGCTGTACAGTAGATAACTAAGTGTTCACTGATGGACGAGTGAATAAAGAAAATATGATATACACATAAAGTGGATTATTATTCCGCCTTTAAAAAGAAGGAAATCATGTGACAACAGGGACGAACCTGGAGGATATTAGGCTAAGTGAAATAAGCCAGACAAGAAGGACAAATGCATGATACTACTTACATGAGGAATCTAAAATAGTCAAACTCATAGAAGCGAAGAGTGGAATGGTAGTTGCCGGGGCAGAGGAGAGGGGGAAATGGGGACTTTCTATCTGCACCTATTGCTTTTTTTTTCCTTGTAATTTCTTCTATTTCTCCTTCGTGTCTACTCCCCTTTCACCATTTTAATACTGTAATGTTGTTGAAATTAGTCAATTTTCACAGTTTTCCCTTACCTGTTTACTTGTCTATCCCCATTTACCATTTTACCACTTTTTCAGTTTGCCTCTGTCTCCTTTGCCATTTCCTGAATGTTTGGAATTAAAAGTTTTTGGTTACTAAGATGACCAACCACAGTTCCTTTTAGTAGCAATTTTTGTGTCCAGATTTCTACTATAATAGCCCACTAAACTTTAATCATTTCAGCTTTTGGGTTATTTGCATTTGGGGTAAATGGGTATTAAAAGTCCTCCCAAAGGCAAGTAAATGAGCCAGCGTCAAACTGGAATAATTGATTTTGCAGTGGTCCTTTCTTCTATAAACTCAATTTAGCTATTGACCTAGCACGTTTGGATTTAGAATTTACATAGGAACACGTGTGAAAAATGATTAGGTCAAGAAGGCCCTACATGTTAATAGAAACAAATCCATTAACTGTGTGACAAAACTACCAAAAATGTTACCTAGGAAATAAATACAACAGTAGTATGATTCTACACAGTTCTCACTCTCTCTACACCATTTGGCACGATAAACAGTCACTACTGAAGACAAACGAAGGTTTGTGGAAGTAGAAACAAGGTAATACTTGCCTGAAAATGTATCAAGAACGTTGACTATGAGTCCATGATGGTGAAAAGTGCTGGAAGGCCAGTTTTTGGACCCATAGGCCATCTTTCCCTTTCAATAATTATACCATTTAAGGTACATGGATGGAAAAAAGTATAAAGCAGTTCTGTTCACCACCAAGAATCTTAGATAGTTCATAAAACCTAACATTTGCACTACAGAAAAATCCAAGTGGTGAGTGGGTCCGTGAAAATTGCTGTAAGATTAATTCAGCTAGGGAATAAATTGAGTAGATAGGTCATGATGAACTAAATTCACTGCTTGTTTCCTTTGGACATGCAAGGTCACATTTTTCTGGCTGTAAGCTTCTTTAGCACACTTTTTTTCAGATTACTTAGGTACAATTTTCCTGCCCTAAAATATGTTTTTATTCAGTAAAATGTAGGTTAGCAAATCAAAATCTTCACTTGGCTATGAATTTTTCTTTTATGTACTCTGTTTTTAGGGAAAGAAGCAAATAAGAAGAAACCAAAACCAAACAGGTTTCCAAAAGCAGTTTCCCAGGGTATATCTCAGGTTCAGCCCAGATTTAGTCACTATCCTCTATCTCCAATGATCTTATTCAATAGAAGTCAGAGTACAGAAACACTGTGTAACTTTTAGTGATAGCAAGATTCAATCAGGTTCAGTCCACTGTGCTTACTAAGGCAAAAATGTATACGTACATTTTAAAAAGAGGTTAAAGAACATGGATAGAACAAAAAAAGTCTGTCTAGTATAACTGTCCACTAAGCCAGAAAATTCAATTAACCAGAAACCCCATTTTCTGAGAATTCTAGTTAGTTGAAAATATCACTTTTGATTTTCACCTCTCATTTAATGAACTTAAAAACCTTAATGGTTTAGACATCAGTACTGGGTAGACGAATTAAATGTACTCTCTTCCTCCACAAGAAAAAGAACACTTTAGGTATAATTGATGGAAATTGTGCCGGCTCAACCTTTCTAGTTAAAAGCACCGGCAAAGCAGCTGTCTCGGGCTTAATACATATGTATTTGTATTTCTGCACCTGGTCCTGGCACACAAGATGAGTGTCTCAAGAGCCAAAGACTTTATGTGCTTGCATCCCCAAACTATGTAATAGACCCCATTAAATTGGCTGGAGTTTATATTAGGTGTGGATAGGAGGAAATGCCATTGTGTTCAGTGGACTGATCACAATCTCTGTCAAGTCAGGAGAGAGAGAAGAGTGTTTGCTTTAAAATGCAGGGAAAGCTTTCAGATTTTCTGGCTTTGGTTGATGAAAATCTAGAGTAATTTTTGACACACAACAAAAACACATGGATGCTCTTCAAATATCCTTTTGGCCCCTCTATAACGTTTGACCACATATTACTGAAATGGTTCAAAACTTGGATTTCAAACATCTAGGGTGTTGTCATGTTATAGCTACATTAATTACAACACTAAGTAGACAGATATAAAATTTTAAGCATTCTTTCTAGACTTTTTCTGTAAACAAGTAGCTAAATTCTGAAAGATTGTTCATAATAATAATATGCACATATTCTACTCAATATCTTTCATCTGTAGGCTGCGACTTCTTAGCAAAATGGTGATTATACTTTATAGAAAGGGAAATTCTATGAATTTACCTCTTGTATTTACAGAGGAGTGTCATGCTAAAGGCAGGAAGTAAAGGGGCCTTGCCTGGTCCTCATAGGCCTGGTCAAACAAAGCATGGAATATTTTTGGCCACTCCTAGATAATGAACCTTGAAATATAACATTGCCACTAGTCCCAAATAATACTGTGGCCTTCCTGTGATGCTTCAGTCTCAGGTGGTCTGCCTGAGAGGGGACACTCTATGCAATTAACCTTCTGATAGGTGCTGAGGACTCATTCAGTGCTCTCCCTTTGTGCTAGGGGTTGTGGTCAACACAAGATTTCTGGATCCTGCCCTTGAGTTCACAACTGAGTTGAATCAAGCTATAAGACTAATACACATTTTTAAAAATGCATAAAATGTGCACGAGTATGAGTTCAATTATATCGTGCAGCCTGTGCTTGTCTCCACCTTCAACCATCTAGTCCAAACCTCGAAGCTGTCTTCTAAGAGGCTCAGAGGACTTATGATCTCATGTAGTCTCATTAGCTCTATGTGAAGTAGGGGAAGAAAAGGCTATTCCTCTTTTACAATTGAGAAACAAATAGGAAATCTACCCCAGAGCACTTAAGGAGTTGGCCAAACGTTGCAGAGCGTTGCAGAGCCTCTGGCAGTCCCGTACTCCTCCTGCTGTCTGTCCCCTCCTGGGTCGCACACTTTACACTGCTAATTAGACCTTCCTAAAGCACAACCCTGACAATATCACTACCCTGCTTGAAAGCCTCTCAGTAGGTCCCCATGCCCACAGGAAGAAAGATCCTTTCTTTTGCGTAGTATGCAAGGCCCTTCATAATTTTGTCCCTGCCTACTTCTCAGTCCTCTTATCTCACTATTGCCCTCAAGTACTCAAAGCTTAACCACACCAAACTTTTCTCTCACTTTCTAAACATAAAATGTTCTTCAAGCCTCTGGGCCTTTGTACATGCATAGTTTTGGACTTGTAGAATGACTTCCATCTCCTCTGATGAACTCCTACTCATCCTTTAAGATACAGCTGTGAAGACATCTCTGAAGTTCCAGCTTCCTTTCCCAGGCAAAGAAAGTTGATCCCTCTTTTTGTGCTCCAGCAGTTTATTCAAACCTCTACCATAGTACTTCTCAAACTAGTTTGCAATGATTACTTCTTGTACTTGTCTTCTCCACTAGACTACATACTCTTGGAGAGCAAAGACTGTATATTATTCACCTTTGGTACCTAGCACAGTGCTTAGCACATGCTATGCTTTAAACTTTTTCTAATTACTTTTTTTTTTTTTTTGAGACTGAGTCTCTCTCTGTCATCCAGGCTGGAGTGCAGTGGCATGATCTCAGCTCACTGCAACCTCTGCCTCCTGGGTTCAAGTGATTCTTCTGCCTCAGCCACCTGAGTAGCTGGAACCACAGGCGTGTACCACCACACCTAACTAATTTTTTTGTATTTTTAGCAGAGCCAGGGTTCTGCCATGTTGGCCAGGCTGGTCTCAAACTCCTGATTTCAGGTGATCTGCCTGCCTTAGCCTCCCAAAATGCTGGGATTACAGACATGAGCCACTGCGCCTGGCCAAGTTTTTTTTTAATTTTAAAGATTTTATAGGAATTGTAAAATGCCTAGAGAATGAAGAAGAATATTTGTATTATTTATCTTGAATAAAAGAGAAAAATAACCTCCAGATTATACATTTACAAATTAAAATGTAATAAACTAGAGAAACACTGGAACAGATTATTTTAAAAATGTACTGGTCAGTACCAAAATCAGGAAGCTTTAAGGGCCTGTGACCCATTGTTCAACTGTCCCCAGTCATAAACAAAAAGAGAAACAAAGCATGGATTTATGTAGAGGCTGATCCTGGGTCAAGAGTCACACCATTAACCATTTTCTTTTAAGTGATAGATGAGAAACTTTTCATTAAATAGGTCCAAAAATAAAGTTAGATGTGGTAGTATTGTTTGGTAAACACACTTAAAATGGAAATGACTTGAATCAGTTGGCAAAGTGGGTGGCTATCACCAGCGTGAAATTTAATACTGAAACTCAGAAGGTAATTCACTGATGTGAAACAGATCAGGAGGGTGGAAGATATGATGTAAGGTCATATTTGAAGTGGTTCTGAGTACTGCAGGATAGCAATATAGGCTGCACAGACCATCTAGCATCAAGATGAATCTATGAAATAGTTTCTTTAACTTACGGATGCTGCCTGAAACCGGTGGACAGGCTTTAAATGTAGAAATAACCACTTGGTGGTACATTTGTCTTTATAGTGACAGGCACATGTATAAATGGTGATTGTTGTCAGTAGGGTCATCTTTGAAAGTTGAAGACAGAGATATAAGAGATATAAAAACAGCATGAAGGAATATTAAGAGTAAATTCCTGGTCACTGTGCATGTTCAGGCACAGGTTAGATTAGTAGTTTTCAAACTTTTCTTAAGCAGCAGAAGTTTTTCTCAAATAAAATTTTATGTGGAATCCCAATACATAAAACAAACAAAATCAGCTTTGCTCTGGTTAAAGTAGGGGCTGGTAAAGTGAGTAGAGAGTGGGCATTTGGAGGTCCAGAACCCTATGTATTTAGCCACCCCTTTACTTCCTATAGTTACTGTTGAGGCACCTCTAAGAAATTTCTGAGATAGGTGCTTATGGCAAAGGTTTCTATATGGACAGAGAGGTTAGAACAGATGACTTCTATTGTTTCGGCCTCCGAAAGTCTGTAATATGATAAGCCTCTCTTTGATACTCAGGACCAGTCCAAAAATTAGAATTTTATTCCACTTACAGAAGAGGCTAGGAGAGGTCAATCCAAATAACTTGAGGGCTTGAGAAATAATCTTTTTTTAAAAAAATTGAGGTATATTGGATAATTAAAAATGATATATATTCAGGGTATACAATATGATGATTTGAAATACATATACACTGTGAAATAACCACCACAATCAAGCTAATTAACATATCCATCACTGCAGATAGTTACCACTTTTTGTGATGAGAAGACTTAAGATCTACTCTCTTGGCAGATTTCAAGTATACAATAAAGTTATTATTATAGCCACATTGTTGTACATTAGCTTTCCAGAACGTATTCATCTTGTGTACCTGAAACTGTATCCCCTGACCAACATCTCCCCATTTCCCCCTTCTCTACCCCTGGTAACCGCCATTCTTTTCTCTGTTTTTGAGTCTGACCTTTTTAGATTTCACATATAAGTGAAATCACGTGGTACTGATTTAGCTCATTTAGCCTAATGCCCTCCAGGTTTATTCATCTTGTCACAAATGGTAGGACTTCCTTCTTTTTCAAGGCTGAATAATATTCCATTGTGAATATATACTACATTTAAGAAATAATCTTGAGGAAAACTGGGCTTACTTAACAGCAGGGCATGGATAACAAGAAGCCCCTTCCCTTCCTTCCTCCCTCAACATGCAAATTTGTATTGAGTACTCTGTTCTACACTCTGGGAATAATGATGAACAGGACAGATAATACCTCATTCTCAAGGATCTTTCAGTGTGTGTGGGGGGGGGGTGGGGGGGAAGTATGTGGAACAGATGATAAATAGGTAAGCAAACAACCAAATAAGAAAACAGCCCTATTGTGACAAGCAATGTTGCAAAGATAACACACAGGAATGTGATAGAGCAGTGGGGTGTGTAGGGCTTAGATAGGTCAGTCCAGTGAAAGCTTCTCTGAGGAGGTAGCATTTAAATAGAGACCCAAAAGGTGAAAAGAAACTCATCCATACTGAGATGGAGAAGTCTTCAGGACTTTTTGGACATACTTAATGAAAAGTTCACTGGTCTATCACTTTTTAAAAGTGCAGAGGGACTAGCACTGCAAAAGGTCTGAGGCAGGAAAAAACTTCCCTGGTCTGAGAAGCTGAAAGGCAGCCAGTATGGCTGAAACACAGGTAATGAAGGACAGGGGTACAAGAAGCTGTCTGATGGGACATCACAGGGGCTTGTAGGCCACTGCAAGGAGTTTGGATTTTACTTTCAGTGAGATGAGAAGCCATTGGAGGGTTCTGAGCAGAGAAGGGATGAGATCTGATGTAAACTATCTTTTAGTCTATCATTAGTACCAGGCAGAATGGGCTAAACTGCATCAGGAGAAATTTATTAACAGTAAGACAGGAAATTTGCGAGACAGAATTGTTGCCAAGAAAGGTTAATGAGTTTAGTTTAATGGTATAAAGCTAATTTCTTGGTGTGACTTAACAAGTAGCCAGAAAGAGCTTCTTTAGCTTTCTTAAGGTTGTCAACTTTGGCAATTTACCTGTAGTGTCACAGTCACCGGGAAAGCTGAGGCTCATATTTAAATCTTCTGATTCTTGTTTTTTTTTTTCACTAAGTTAATTGCATCTAATTGTTTACAGCAAAGCAGTAAAAGATGGCAAAAAGTAGAAATACAGCATTCCCTTTCTTAAGGGCTTCTGAAAATTCCATCTTTCTCTGTAAGAACCTGCCTGAGTACTTACGAGTTTAGCATGTTTAGTTTCCTCTTAGCATCTGACCCCTTTCTGCCATTTTCTCTGCTTTCAAAGCTAGGACAGCCAAGTGCTTTTGGAAAAAAACCCACAAAACTATAACTGCAGACACACATTAAACACTTATGGTTCCCATCACAGGTGGGCCTTCAAGGATGTTCAGCACTTCTTCTAATTGTCTTTTTCTCATTCATTACAGTGGACATTATAAACTTACTAAGAACAAAGACTCCTTGCTTAAAATTCCGTCGCATTTAGAATAAAATCCAAAGCCCCATGGTCCATAAGGCCTTGTATGATGTGGCCTATGGCAACTTCTCTGTCCTCTTGTGCCACTGTCCAAATTACTCACTTTGCTCCAGGCACACTGGCTTTCTTGTTGTTCCTCAGAAGCTTCTAATGGATAATGGCGTGCATTTGCAGTTATATGGTTTGCTTTTGAGGAACTGCCAAACTGCTTTCCAAAGTGGCTACACCATTCTACAGTCCCACCAGCAATGTATGAGGATTCTAATTTCTCCATGCCTTCATGTACATTTGTTATTATCTGACCTTTTGATTCTAGCCATCTTAGTGAAGTGGCATCTCATTGTGGTTTTAATTTGCATTTTTCTAATGACTAATGATGTTGAGCATCTTTTCAAGTGCTTATTGGCCATTTATATTTTTTTTTGGATAAACATCTATTCAAATCTTCTGCCTATATTTGAATTAGGTTATTTGTCTTTTCATCATTGAGTTGTAAGAATTATTTATATATTCTGGACACATCTCTGATCAGAAATATAATTTGCAAATGCTTTTTCCCATTCTATTGGTTGTATTTTCACTTTCTTGATGTTTTTCTCACTTTCTTTGAAGCCCAAAAGCTTTTAGTTTTGATGGTCAATTTATCTATATTTTCTTTTTTTTTGTACTTTCTGTGACATATCTGAGAAAGCTTTGCCTCACCCAAGGTCATGAAGACTTACTCCTATGCTTTCTTGTAAGACTTTCACAGTTTTAGCTCTTACATTTTGGCCTATGATCCATTTGGAATTCATTTTTATGTATGGCTTGAGGTAGGGATTGAAATTCATTCTTTTGCATGTAGATCCTAGTACCATTTGTGGAAAAGACTGTTCTTCCCTTATGAATTGTCTTAGTACTTTTGTTGAAAGTCAGTTGATCATAAATGTGAGGGTTTATTTCTGGACTCCCAATTCTATTCCACTGGTCTGCGTGTCTATCCATATGCCAGGACCACATGGTCTTGATTACAGTGTGAGTCCTTCAAATTTGTTCTTTTTCAAGATTATTTTAGTTGTTTTGGGGTCTCTTGCATTTCCATATGAATTTTAGGATCAGCCTGTCAATTTCTACAACAAGCCAGCTGGAATTTTGATAGAGATTGTGTTGAATCTTTAGGTCAATTCGGGAGTATTGCCATCTTAACAATATTAAGTTTTCTGATCCATGAACATGAGATCTCATTATACATTTTTTACATGATTCATAGTTATAAGGAACTAATGTAAAATAATTTTAAAATGTGAGATCAAATGAATTTTTAACAGCTTGATTTAGGTATAATTTAGATACCATAAAGTTCACTCATATTAAGTATACAATTCAATGATTTTTAGTGAATTTACTGAGTTGTGCAATTCATCATCATAATCTCGTATTAGAATATTTTCACCATTCCAATAAGATCCCTCATGCCCATTTATAGTTAATCCCTGCTGTCATCCCTAGACCCAGGCAACCCCTCATCTTCTTTCTGTCTCTGTAGATTTGTCTTTCTAGACATTTCATATAAATGGAATTATATAATATGTGATGTGGTCTTTTTCTATCTGTCTTCTTTCACTTAGCATCATTTTTTTAAATTAGTATAGTTCTGGGGAACAGTTTCAGATTTACAGAAAAATTGAGCAGATAGAGCAGAATTCCCATATATCTTCTTCCCTGCACACAGCTTTCCCTATTATTAACATTTTGTATTAGCGTGATATGTTTGTTTCAATATTGACCCATAATTATTCATTAAAGTCCATAGTTTATAAGAGGGTTCACTCTTAGTGTTATATAGTTCTATGACTTTGGACAAATACATGATGCCATGTATCTACCATTACAGAATCATATAGAATAGTTTCGCTGCTCTAGAAATCCCCTGTGCTTTAGCTATTCATCCCTCCTCTCTTCCCTTCCTCTCCCCACCAAGCCCTTGACAACCATTAATTTCTTTTACTGTCTCTATAGTTTTGCCTTTTCCAGAATATCAAATAGTTGGAATCATACAGATTGGCTTCTTTCACTCAACAATATACATTTAAGTTTCCTCCATGTCTTTCAGGGCTTAATAGCTCATTTTAAAAATTGCTGAATAATAGTGCATTGTATGAATGTAACACAGCTTAGTTATCCATTCATCTACTGATGGACATTTTGCTTGCTTCCAGATTTTGACAATTATGAATAAAGCTGCTATAAACATTTGTGTATACGTTTTCATGTGGACATACATTTTCAAGTCAATTGTGTAAATAACCTAGGAGCACGTTTGCTGAGCATAATGTTTTTGAGGTTCATTCATGTTGCATTCCTTTTTAATTCCCGAATAGTATTCCTTGTATGGATATCTCACATTTTGTTTATACATCCACTAGTTGATGGTCATTTGGGTTGTTCCACTTTTTGGCTATAATGAATAGAGCTGCTATGAACATTTATGTGCAAGTCTTTGTGCAGAGGTATGTTTTCACTGGGTAGATACCTAGGAGTGGAACTGCTGGGATATATGATAAATTTATGTTTAACTTCTTAAGAAACTGTCAGATTGTTTTCCAAAGTAGCCGTACCATTCTACATTCCCACCAGCAATGTATGAGGGTTCCTATTTCTCAACATCCTTGCCAACACTTATTGTCTATCTTTTTGATTACAGCTATTCTAGTGGATGAGTAATGGTATCTCATGGTAGTTTTCATTTGTGATTTCCTACTGATTAATGATACTGAGCATCTTCTCATTTGCCTATTAGGCCATTTATAAATTTTCTTTTTTTGAGATAGGGTCTCACTTTGTCACCCAGGCTGTAGTGTAGTGGCACGAACATGGCTTACTGCAGCCTCAACCTCCCGGGCTCAAGTGATCCTCCTGCCTTAGCCCCTCAAGTAGCTGGGACTACAGGAATGTGCCACCACACCCAGCTAAGTTTTGTATTTTTTGTAGAGATGGGGTTTCACCACGTTGCCCAAGCTGGTCTTGAACTCCTGAGCTCAAGTAATCCATCTGCCTCAGCCTCCCAAAGTGCCGGAATATACAGGCCAGGCTTCAGTGAGCAGCTGCACCTGGCCCATATATTTTCTTTGACAAAGTATTTATTAAAATATTTTGCCCATTTTTAAATTGGGTTGTCTGTCTATTATTCAATTGTAACAGTATATTCTGGATACAAGACTTTTATCATATATGAAATTTGCAAACATTTTTTCCTAGTCTGTAGCTTGTCTTTTAATTTTCAAAGATTGTCTTTTGAAGGGCAAGTTTTAAATTTTGATGAAGTTCAATTTATCAAATGTTTGTTTTATGGACCATGCTTTTGTTGTTATATGTATTAAATCTTTGCCTAACCAGCGTCTCAAAAATCTCCTATGTTTGTTTTTCTAAAAGTTTTTTTAGTTTTACCTCTTACATTTAGGTCTCTTTTCCATTTTGAGTTAATTTTTGTTTATGGTATTGAGGTAATGGTCTAATTTCATCATTTTGCATCTGCATATCCAATTGTCCCAGCATCATTTGCTGAAACTCATCATACATTTCATAGGCTTTAAAAGAACTGTTTTTTCCAACTTTTTATTTTGAAAAATTTCAAACTTATGGAAGAGTTGAAAGAATAGTATGACAAGCAATCATATACCTTTTTGCCTAGATTCACCAATTGTCATAATTTTCCACATTTCTGTCTCTCTCTCACACACACTTTTTGCTGAGCCATTTGAAAGTAAGCTACAAATATGATGACATTTCACTCCTAAACACTTCATCATGCATCTCCTAAGAAAAAGACTTCTACATTATCATGCCTAAGAAAATCAACATCAATTCAAGAATATCATCTAATATAGTCTGTAAATTTCCCAAATCATTCCAAAAATGTCTTTAATAATTGTTTAAGATTTCTCTCCAATTCAGAATCCATTCAAGGTTGACACATTGTATTTGAGTTCATTGTTTTCTAAAATCCAGAACAATTCCTCCACCTTCTTTTGTTTTTCATGATAATGGCTTTCTGAAGAGTCCAGGCTAGTTCACTTGTTGGATATCCCACACTCTAGGTTCATCTAATTGTTTCTTCATAAACATTTCTGGCAAGAATATTTCATAAATGATGCTTTGTACTTCATCTGAGATCACATCAGAAAGCACGATGTCAGCTTGTCCTGCTACTGACAATGCTGAGTTTAATAACTTGTTTAACCTGGTGACTGCCAGATTTTCCTATTGTAAATGTGCATTTTCCTCTTTGTAATTAGCAAGGAATCTGTGGGGTGATAATTTGAAACTGTGTGAATATCCTGTTCTCAAGGACCTTTCTGCTCAAAGGTTTTAGCATCCATCTGATGATCTTTGCCAAAATCAATTATTGTACTGGGGGGCTGCAAAACAGTGATTTTTTTTTTAGTCTACCTTCTACATTTATTAGCTGCTGTTCTGCTCTAAAGTAGGTCTTTCTCCCTTTTTCCCCCTCTCTCTCGCTGTCTTTGGAGTAGCACTATAGACTATGCTATAATCCATTTCCTTCAATCTTTTCATAATTTCTTTAAAAATTATATATTTCTTAGGTTGGTCTACAGAAAAGGCAAGCAATGCATGCCAGTGGCAATGAGCATACCCAGTACCTAGATTTTGGTACTGAAATGCCATTCCCTACTAAAAGGAACCAGGATTTCTGAGAGAAACGGCTGATTCCAGGGCTGGAGCAGGGATAGTTCAGAAAACCAGGGAAACCTTGTTCACCAGAAATTAAAGGTGCTGAAAAACTGATGGGGTCATGTCACAAACACATAGGAGCCAGCTCAAAGGCCAAATTTGGGATAATTTGAGCACTAAAAACAAGTGCTTTTAAAATTACCCATATTTACTATAATTCTTCTTTTCTCTCTATCTGTCTCTGTCTCTCTCTCCCCTGCCTTTATTTCCTTATTGTTCATTTGCTCCTCAGCCTGTTCTTTTTACACCACTGTAAATATGGCAGTAATCTTTGATTGCCAAATCCAACAGACCCATTCTCGGTCCTCAACATACTCAACTTCATTGTTGCTAATAACCACTTGCGCTCTCATGCTGGGCTAGCTTCTCTTCTCATCCAATCAGAGACAAATAATCCATACCCAGGTTCATGGCTTGCCACGGCCTTCCCAGAACAAGCAGAAAAAGAACTTAAAATTATAGAAGAGGGAGACTCAGGTTCGAGAAGGATTGAGGCATTTGTGCTAGTGGCCACATTTTATCCGTCTCCCTATTTTCAGGGCTTACCCAGTGGGTGAAACCCAACAGGCACACACAAATGTGGCTCACTCTCTGACACCTGGGGTAAGCCACTAAACCTCTCTGAACCTCAGGTTCTCCATATATACAGTGGTAATGATAATAACACCAACACGAAGGAAGGGTTGTTTCAAGAACTTTCACGTGCATGCATACTTTGAACTCTAAAGATTATTCAAAAGTAAGAAATGAAAAAGTTTGTAACATTATCTCTGTTTGGTATTTCTTTCCACTCCTTCAAATTAAACTTGCCTTGACTCTACATCTCCCTCAAGCAATTGCCCATGTCTTTCCTTCTGTTGACTACAAAATGCCTTGCTTTCTCCACTTCCTTATTTCCCATTTATTCTGCAACTGTCTGTTCCACTGAAATGCCTTTTACCAGGCACATCAGTGATAGGTAATTTTTAATCTTCATCTTACTTGATTAGCATTTGACACTGGTAAACATACACCACATTATTGAGTTTTAAACAGAGTCATTGCCAGTGGTATGCCAGAGCCAGCTGGTAAGAGCCGATTGCTGCATATTAAAAATTTTGCAAGCCTTGGGGAGTATTTATATTACTAAAATTGACAACTGCTATAAATTGAGGCTTTATTTTTTCAGAGAGCTGGTTTACCAACACAGTACTTGTTACTGTTTTTATCAAGTAATATGTGCTCAGTAAAAAATATTCAACCTTTGACAAAAAATGTAATGATCTGAAATCTCACTATCCAGAAAACAAACAAACAAAAAACACTATTTGCTAGGAAGCAAAGTTTTACTTAATGGAGACAATGCTACCCTGCTGTTTTATAACCTTTTTACAATTTGTCATGGACACTTTCCACGTCAATAAGTGTAGAGCTCTGTCATCATTTTAAATGGCTGTACAATATTCCATTGTGTCTGTCTGCCATGATAATTCTTCTATTGTTGAATATTTTATGTTGCTTTTGCTATCATAATGCTAGGACCAATGTCATTATGTGTATTTAAAAAATACGTTTGTATAATTTTCTATCTCTTTGGGGTAAATTCCCAGAAGTAAAATTGCTGTCTCACAGAATCGGCTTATTTTTCATTTTGATACATATTGCTAAACTGTCCTCTGGAAAGTACAAAAACATTTACATTCCCACCAATAAATATAAAACAGTACCTGTTTTCCCACAGCCATGGTAACATTGTGTCAATCTTTTAAATTTTTGCTAATCTCATAGGCAAACACTAAAAACACATGATTTTGTTTTCACGTCTTTGACTGTTAGTGAAACTGAACATCTTATATTTATTATCCATTTGTATGTCTTTTGATAACTGCCTTTTCATGTCCTTTGCCCATTTTTCTAGTGTAGAAGACCTTTGCCTCTCACCCGTTTCTTAAAACACTTTCTTTCCTCTGATTCCTATACACTACTTCTTTATGGTTCCCTTCCTACAATGTTGCCAGTTCCTTCTCAGTTTCCTTCTCTGGTTTCCAATCCTCTGTTTGCCCCCTAAATGTTGATGCTCTCTTCTCTTCAGCTCTACCCACTTTTCCTCAGTGATCCCATCCACTCTTCTGATCTTAATTAAAATCTATAACAACATGAACAATCCCAATAGTAATAGTGATATTAACGATTATCAAACCTTTATTGAGAATTTACTATGTGCTAGGGACTATAACTAGTGCTTATATGGAAAAGCTTAGTTATTCCTCACAGTAATCTTGTAAGGTAGGTTCTATCACCAATCTCCATTTTACAGATGAGAAAATGGAGTCAGGAATGTTGAACTGACTTATCCAAGGTCACAAAGTTAGTATGTAAGAGTTGGGACTCAAACTCAGGTCTTGTCTGACACCAGGTAGGACTATATTCTGTATACCATACACATCAGGGGTAGGCAAACTAGCCCACAGGCCAAACCCAGCCTGTCATGTGTTTCTGTAAATGAAGTTTTATTGGAACACAGCTATACCCATTCATTCCAATATTGTCTATGGCTGCTTTAACACTGCCACAGCAAAGCTGAATAGATATGACAGAAACTCTATGGCCTGTGAAGTCTAAAATACTAGCTGGACCATTACAGAAATAGTTTGTCTACTTCTGATCTGTATACTGATAACTCCAAAAATCTATATCTTCATCACTGACCTATCTTCTGAGCTCTTTATTTACTTATCAACCGGACATCCCTAGCCTAGAAGTACTTCAGTCTTATCACACTCAAAACTGGATTCTAAGGTACCAGCTGCTGCCATTCTCTACCTCATACCCTATGCCCTAGGGATGCCCAGGGATGTGGCATGCATGCTGCCATTCTTCACTCTTATACCCATGGCAGACATTGCTAATTGATCACAGCGCTCTTTCCCATTAAGCCCAGATGAGGCCTCAGAATCTTAACACAGGCTTTATGAAACTATGAAGGCCTGGCCTGAGATTGGCAGTGGGAGGTGCAGAGAAAGGGTTGGAGTCAAGAACTTTTTAGGAGGTAGAATCAACAGTCTATGGAGATACTGGAGGCTTGTGTGTCTAACTTTTGTCTGCGTAGATGGTGATACCCGTGATTGTTAGCTACTACTACACCCGCTTCTCACTAGTCCTGGAATCTGATCAAGTCCCTTCACAATTCCACGTCCATGCACAAGATTCATCATCCCAGAATGCCACGCTCTCCCTGCTCTGCCTGGCAACCCCTTTTCCCATGTCTGACAACCAGTTCAAATGTCACTACCATGAAGCCTTTCCCTACTCCTCCCCCATGTAGCTATTCCCTACATGGTGCCCTTACTAGTTCTGAACTCTCTCATAACACTAATACATGATACATTATACCACCAGCCCCCAACCTTTTTGGCCTCAAGGGCTGGTTTCGTGGAAGACAATTTTTCCATGGGCATGGTTGGGGGTAGTTTCATCAGGCATTAGATTCTCATAAGGAGCATAAAACCTAGATCCCTGGCATGCGCAGTTCACAATACACTTGACTCTTCTATGATACTAGTGCCACCACTGATCTGACAGAAGGCAGAGCTCAAGCAGTAATGCTGTCTTGCCCGCCACTCACCTCCTGCATTATACCTATATCTATCTTTTCATAGGTTGGTCTGTCTACCCCATGAGATTAAGAGCTTTTTAAAAGCAGGCCACGTATCTTAATTCTCTTTGCATGCCTGGTGTCTAGCAGTATCGAGAACAGAGCAGACCGTCAGTATGATAGATTGGAAGGAGGATAAAATCATCGCAGGTATCACCATCTACCCAGACGAAAGCTTGGTACACAGCTCACGACTCCAGTGCCTTCTCTGCACCTCCCACTGCCAATCACAGGCCAGACCTTCATCATTTGTACCCAGGATTAGCGTCACAACCTTCTTGCCTCTTGTCTTGGCCCCTCAAATTGGTCTCCTACATTAATTCCTTCCTTCAACAAATATCTAATGAGTATTTACTAAATGCTCTCTGTTCTAGGCACTGAGACAAAAATCCCTGTCCTCTTGGGAGGCCAAGGCGGGTGGATCACGAGGTCAGCAGATCGAGACCATCCTGGCTAAAACGGTGAAACCCCGTCACTACTAAAAATACAAAAAAATTAGCCGGGCGTTGTGGCGGGCGCCCGTAGTCCCAGCTACTCAGGAGGCTGAGGCAGGAGAATGGCGTGAACCCGGGAGGCGGAGCTTGCAGTGAGCCGAGATCGCGCCACTGCACTCCAGCCTGGGCAACAGAGCGAGACTCTGTCTCAAAAAAAAAAAAAAAAAAAAAAAAAAAAAAAATCCCGGTCCTCATGGAGCTTATGTTCTAGGAGGGGGAATCACAGCCATCAAGTGACCCATTTGCATGCAGCTCTGACCATGTCACTCTCTTTAAAACCTTCACTAGCCATGTGTGGTGGCTTGTGCCTATAATCCTAACTACTTAAGAGGCTGTGGCAAAAGAATCGTTTGAGCCCAGGAGTTTGAGACCAGCCTGGGCAACATAGTGAGACCTTGCCTCTTTAAAAAACTCTTCACTAGCTCCCTATTATTTATAGTCCAAACTACCTGAACATGGTATTTAAGGCTTCCTGTGACCCAGCCCTTAGGTACTTTAGTTTCATTTCTTGTATTTTGTGCTCTAGCAATACTGAAATGCCTACACTGTTTTTTCTCCCTGCTCCTGCCCCAACTTTGCTTTTGCTGTCCCTTTTGCCTGGAATGCTCTACCCTCTCTTTTTTTTTTACTTGATTAACTCCTATTTCTTCTTTAAGATTCAGCTAAGACAGCACATCACCTGGGAAGCCATCCTTCTTCTCCCCTAGGTTAGATGTGTCTTGTCCATGCTCCCTTAATAATATACTGTGCACACCTCTCTCGCCGCATTTCTACACTGCCTTATCGTGGTTTGTTTCTGTATCTTGGTTTTCCTTTTAGGGTGTGCTCTCAGTGGGTGGAAACTGTCTAATTCACCTTTGTAACTCCAGGACCTTGAGAACTTCCTCCAGTGTATAGCACATACTAGGCCCTCAATAAATATTTGTTGAATTAAGGATTGTTACTTGCACATGCCATTCTCATTTATGCCCAGACCACTCTGCTGCACTCCACTCTTATGATCAAATGCTTACCAGGCATCTTTCTACCTCTCAGGTACCTCGAAGACACCATGACCAATGATGACATCATTATCACGCCCTGAAACCCACTCTTCCTCCTGTATTCTTAACATCATTTCTCAGACTGGCAACCTTAGAGTCAATTTTGTTTATTCTGTCTTCCTCTCTTGGATAATTCTACTTCATAAAACCTCCCTTTGGCCCCTCCTTCTTATTTCCTCTGCCATTGGCTTCATTATCGCGCCCCTGGCTGACTGTACCAGTCTTCCTGCCTCTAGTCTCACCCCCTGGATTTCATCCTCCACACTGCTGCCAGGGTTATTTTTGTCAAAGAAAAATCTGATTGTGTCACTTCCCTGCTTAATGATCTTTTCTAGCTTCCCACTGCCTTTAGGATAAAGTCCAAACACTTTAGTATGTTACACAAGGTCCTTAAGGATTCAGCCCTCTTCTAAATTTCCAGCCTCATCTCTTGCCACTGACCCAAACTTTCTGCCTCAGTCATGCTGAATTCTTGACAGCTCTCAACACAAGTCTTGTTCTCTCATGCCTTCCTACCTTTGCATGTTCAGTTCCCTTTTCCTTATCTTTTTCTTCTGCATCTGCCAGGCTAATGCTTCCTGGCCCCTTATGACTCAGCTCAAGTACCACAACAGCCTCAATACTTCAGAAAGGCCTGGTCTGAACTCGGCACTTCCCCACAGCCCAGTTGAGTTTAGTGTCTTTGTTGATATGCTTTCCTAGTACTCTGTGGCAATTACAACCATGAATTACATTACGGTAGAATGCTAGTTTGTCAGTCTCAGTTGACCATGAACTTCTTGAAGCCAGGGACAGTGTCATTGTGGTCTATTTTATCTCCAGTGCCTAGCATCATTTATGGGAACACAGTAAAAACCCAATGACCGAAACAAGTATTTAAATACATGAATAAACACCTTCTTGACTTTGCAAATGCTGATCTATTTGCCTGGCATACTCTGTCTGGTAATATCCTAGGTCACTATTGTATCTCTAGCATCTAGCAGAGTTCCTGACATACAGCATGTACTAAACACATACTGAATGAACGAATGATACCAAGCTGAAGTACCACCTTTCTGACCTCTTTTTTTTTTTTTTTTTTTTGAGATGGAGTTTTGCTCTTGTCACCCAGGCTGGAGTGCAATGGCATGATCTCGGCTCACTGCAACCTCCGCCTCCTGGGTTCAAGTGATTCTCCTGCCTCAGCCTCCCAAGTAGCTGGGATTACAGGTGTGCACCACCATGCCCGGCTAATTTTTGTTTTTTAAGTAGACACAAGGTTTCACCATGTTGGGCAGGCTGGTCTTGAACTCCTGACCTCAGGTGATCCACCCACCTCGGCCTCCCAAAGTGCTTGGTTTACAGGCATGAGCCACCATGCCTGGCCCACCTTTCTGTCCTCTTAGCCCTAGGTACAGCTGGTTGGTCTCTACCCTGTTTCTACAGCATTTTGTATCTCCTTCTGTTTCTCCTAGAACACCTGTACTGCTGTCTGTTTGCTAGACTAGGAGCTCCTTGAGGACAGAATTTTGTCTACTCATCTCTATCTCAACCCCCTAGCACAGTGCCAGCCCTACAAGAGATGCTCAGAAAGCATTTGTTGAATGAACAAATGGATGAATGAGAAGATATGACTCAAGGGAGTCTCTATAAATACCTGAATGGCTGTCATGAGACTGAAAAATTAGATTAATCTGTGTGGCTGCAGGAGGCAGAAGAGGTAGGAAGAGCAGTGGCATTGTTTTAGCTCAATGAATTTTGTTAACTTTTAAAACGGCCTGAGTATCAAATGGGCTTCCCCAGGGAAAAGTGAGCTTCCTGTGATAAGAGGTGAGCAATCAGAAGCTGAAGAATGCTTGGCAGTAATGTAGTAGAGGGCATCTCAGCAGCAGATAGGGTAGGGAACGTGGGGTAATGGCTGGGGGTCATGATGGTGGTGACGGTATATGACATTCAGGCTTCCTTCTGGAGGAAGCATCCTTATTAACCTGCTCTCCTCAGAGGTGCCTGAAGCTGGGACATTGCTTCTCCACCAACCAGGCCATTCTTATCCAGTCTGGGCACACCTGGTTACCCACTACTTTTCCTCAGGGGGTGGAACTACCTTACTCATGTCCTTATCTTTAATAACTAGTAAGATATCTGGCACATAGCAGGAGCTCAACAACTGTTTGCTGAATTGTATCTATCTAGATATCCAAACCCGTTCTCTTTGCCTCAATAAACATTGGTTGAATGAAGTTAATTTAAATTCTACTATGTGACAAGGTGTAGCTCATGTCATTCTTTAATTATTTACCTGGTATCTATTATATACCTCAAGCAAGGCCACATACTAGGCATTGGGAGCAAGAAAGCAACAAGGACTCTGTCTTCCAGGAGTTTACAGTATAGCAGGAGGGAAAAGCTATGGACACAATAAATGTAGCACAGATAAAAAGTGCCTAGCACAGTGCCTGCTATGTAGTAAATACCTGTGAAAGGCTGAATAGTGGACCCTAAAGATACCCATGTCTTAATCCCTGGAACCTATGAATGTTACATTATATGGCAAAAATGGCTTTGCAGATATGATTAAGTTAAGGGTCTTGAGATGAGAGCGATTAGCTTGCATTATGGGGGTGGGCCCTAAATGTAATCACAAGTGTCTTTGTGAAGGAAGCAGAGGGAGATTTGACATGGAAGAGAAGGAAGCTATGTGATGGAAGCATAAGAGAGAGAAAAGAAGCTATGTTGCTAGCTTTGAAGTTGGAGGAAGGGGCTATGAGCAATGAATATAGCTCTTGACCCAAGGAAAAGGCAAGTAAACAGATTTTTCCCTAGAGCCTCCAGAAAAAATGTAGCCCTGCCCATACCTTGATTTTAGCCCTGTAAGACTCATTTCAGACACCTGGCTTCCAGAACTGTAAGATAATAAGTTCCTGTTGTTTTAAGCTACTAAATTTGTAGAAGTTTGTTACAGCAGCAATAAGAAACTAATACAGTACTCAATACACATTTGTGAATAAGTAGATTTTTTTTACATTCCATAAAACAGGTAAAGATACAGGGATTCCCTACTGATATGGTTTGGCTCTGTGGTCCCATGAAAATCTCATGTTGAATTGTGTCCCCCAGTGTTGTAGGGGGGACCTGGTGGGAGGTGATTGGATCATGGGGGTGGATTTCCCCCTTGCTGTTCCCATGATAGTGAGTTCTTATGAGATCTGGTTGTTTGAAAGTATGTTGCACTTTTCCCTTCTCTCTTTTCTGCCTCCATGGTAACATGTGCTTTCTTCTCCTTTGTCCCTCTGCCAAGACTGTAAGTTTTCTGAGGCCTCCCAGCCATGCCTCCTCTACAGCCTCTAGAACTGTGAGTCAATTAAATGTCTTTTCTTCATAAATTACCCAGTCTCAGTTAGTTCTTTATAATAGTGTGAGAACGGACTAATATATCTACCCAGTGGAAAATAGCCTAAAAGCCTTGAAAATGCTCCAAGGAGCCACAGCTTACTTTCCCCTTGACTAGGTCACCTTGGAAATCAATAGTGCAGTTTACTGTCTGCCTACCATAGGGCTGAGAGTTATCAGCCTTCTATTACCACTTTGGAAATCTACTTGGGAGGGTACTTCTAGAGCCCTCAGTTGCCTGAAATGCTGTACCATGCAGCCCCAAACCTGAGATATAGAAATAAGATATAGCTTCCTTCTCACTGAATTCTGATAGCAATTATAATCTGTCTTAAATTGCTGAATACTCATATGCTATTTTATGCGTTTTTTTTTTTTTTTTTGGTTACAGCATATATCTCAGTCGTATCTCCTTAATCTCTTAAGATCCTAAAGGGCAGAAACCATTATGTATATATTTGGATTTTCAATGATACTATACATTCTCAGAGGGGTTCAGGAAATATTTATTGCTGATAATCAAGCCTTGAGAACGCTGAGCAGGAGAATGTTATCTTATGCTTCCTTTTCCAGACCACAAGTAGTTAACTGATTCTGTCTGTCTGTCTGTCTGTCTATCTACCTACCTACCTACCTACATACATACCCTCTAATCAATCAGCCATTAATTGGTATCTTACCATGGGCCAGGCTTATACTTAGTACATTCAGTGGATACAGAAGTATAAAAACACTTGGTTTCTGCCTCCAATGGCAGAAGACCGAAAAACTAACACATTATAACATAACATGATATGCTAGAGGCAAAAACAAATCCTATTAAAACAGAGGCTAGAGCAATTAATTCTGTCTATGGGAGTCAGGAAGAACACCGTGAAGGTGACAATTAAGCCGTGCCTTGAAGGAGTAGCAGTTTTCCAGGAGGAGAAGAGGTGTGTAGGGCATTCTAGACAGAGGAAAAGCATGGGAAGGCTCAGGGGAATTGTGAACTGAAGAATTAGCCAGAGCAAGGAATGATTGGTGATGAGGCTAGAAGGGTAGATTAAGGCCAGACTTTTAAAGCCATACTTGGATTGTCTGGACTTATATTTTGTATGTGAAGGGTAGCCAATGGATCTGATTTCTATTTCATGTGAAAAGCACCCCCAATAGAAAATTTGCACTTCAAAGAGGATGTTTTAACTGTGGAATTACTATATAAAATCTATACTATCTAAAGAAGAAAAACTGATCAGAATATGTTTTCTGAAAAGTGTTAAATTTGGAGGGATACTTGAGCCAACTTCTCAGTTTCTCTATCCATTTCCCCAGTTTCCTTATCAATTTCTTCCACTGAACAGAAAAATAGAAAGGTGATTATTCAGAAAAGTTTTATTTTCTGGTCACTAATATGCATAATGAGTCTACTGTAAGACCTACTAGTTTTAATTCTTCTTCTTTAAAAAGAAAACAACTTTTTTGTTTATCCATCACAACCAATTTTAGAATATTTTCATCACCTCAAAAAGAAACCCTGCATGCATTAACAATAACTACTCCCCATTTCTCCTGAACCCCCCAAGGCTCTGGCAAACCACTAATTTACATTCTGTCTCTATAGATGTACCTATTCTGGATATTTCATACAAATGGAATATACAATTTATGGTCTTTTGTGACTAGCTTCTTTAACTTAGCATAATGTTTCAAGATTCATCCATGTTGTAGCATGTATCAGTATTTCATTTCTTTTTATTATGAAACAATGTCCCACTGTATGGATATACCACATTTTGCTTTTTAAATTCATCAATTGATGCACATTTTGGTTGTTTCCACCTTTCGGCTATAGTGAATAATGTGGCAGTTAACAATGGCATAAAAAACTTCTGTATGGACATATATTTTCAGTTCTTTTGGATACACTCCCATCCCTAGGAGTAGAAGTTCTGGGTCATATTTTTAACTTTGGAGGAACTACATAGCTGTTTTCTAAAGTGGCTGTACCATTTTATGTTTTTTGTTTTATTTTATTTTATTTTGAGACAAGATCTCACTCTGTTGCCCAGGCTAGCATGCACTGGCAAAATCATAGCTTACTGCTATGGCCTTGAACTCCTGGGCTCAAGCTATCTTCTCACCACAGCCTCTGGAATAGCCAGGACTATAGGCATGCACCACCGTGTTGGGCATTTTTTTTTTTTTTTTTTTTTTTTTGTAGAAACAGGTTCCTGCTATGTTGCTCAGGCTGGTCTCAAACTCCTGGTCTCAAGCAATCCTCCCACCTTGTCCTCCCAAAGTGTTGGGATTACAGGCGTAAGCCATTGCATCTGGCCAGCTGTACCATTTTAGATTCTCACCAGCAATGTATGAAGGTTCCAATTTCTCCAAATCCTCTTGAATACTTGCTAGTGTCTTTTTTTTTTTTTTTTTTTAAATTAGAGACAGGATCTTGCTCTGTCATCCAGGCTGAAGTGTAGTGGCTTTATCATAGCACGCTGTAACCTCAAACTCCTGGGCTCAAGCGATCCTCCTCCTTAGCTCATCATTTCCCTGATGACTAATGATGCTGAACATCTTTAATGCTCTTATTGACTACTTGTATATCTTTTTTTGAGAAACATCTATTTGAATCCTTTATACATTTTTCAATTGAGTCATTGCTCTTTTTATTGTTAAGTTGCAAGAGTTCTATACACATATATTCTGGATAAAAGACCCTTCTTAGATATATTATTTTCAAATATTTTCTCCCATTCTATGGATTATCTTTCTACTTACTTGAAGATAAATCATTTGCAGCACACAAGTTTTTAACTTTGATGAAATTCAATCTATTTTTTTGTTACTTGTGCTTTTGGTATTATATCTAAGAAGCCTAACCCAGGTCACAAAGATTTACTTCTAAATTGTCTTCAAAGAGTTTTATAGTTTTAGTTCTTACATTTAAGTCTTTGATCTATTTTGACTTAACTTTTAAATATGGAGTGAAGTAGGGGTCCAACTTCACTCTTTTGAAGGTGGTTATCAGGTTATCCCAGCACCATTTGTTGAAGAGGCTATTCTTTTCCCATTGAGTGGTCTTGGTTCTCTTGCCAAAAATTGACCATGGATGTGTGGGGTTTATTTGTCAATTCTCAGTTCTATCCCATTGATCTATGTATCTATCCTTATGCCAGTAACAGACTATTTTGATTACTGTAGCTTTATGGTAAGTTTTGAAATTGGGAATTGTGAGTCCTCCAACTTTATTCTTTTTCAGGATTGTTTTGGCTATTCTGGGTCCCTTGCATTTCCATATGAATTTTAGAATCATCATATCAATTTCTGCAAGAAAGCCCAGGCCCAGATGGCTTCACTGGTGAATTCTACCAAACATTTAAAGTAGAAATAATACCAGTTATCTACATTGTCTCCTAGAACTAGAAACAGACAGAATACTTCCCAACTAATTTTAGGAGGTCAGTATTATTACCCCGATACCAAAATCAGACAAAAACATCATAAGAAAACTACAGACTAACGTCTTTTCCTTATGAATATAGATACAAAATCCTCAACAAAATACTAACAAACCAAATCCAGCAAATATATTAAAATAATTATATACCATGACCAAAAAAGGATTTATCCCAAGAATGCAGGTTTGGTTTAACATCAAAAAATCAATATAATATACCATATTACTAGGATAAAGGATTAAACCTCATCAGCATTTCAACAGACTCAGAAAAACCATTTGACAAGATCCAACACCTTTTCACGATATAAACACTCACTAGGAATAGGGAACTTCCTCATCCAGATAAAGGGTACCTACAAACATTCACAGCTAATATCATACTGCCTGGTGAAAGACTAGATGCTTTCCCCATAAGATCAGGAACAGAAAAGGATGCCCACTTTCACCACTTCTATTCAACATTATATTGGAGGCTCTAGCCAGGGCAATTTGGCAAGAAGAAAAAAAAAGAAAGAAAAGAAAGGCATCCAAAATACAAAGGAAGAAGTAAAACTATGTCTGTTGGCAGATGAGATAATCTTGTATGTATAAAATCCTAAGGAGTCTACTAAAAAAACTATCACTTCTAATAGTTATAGTTCAGCAAGATTGCATGATATGAAATCAAAATACAAAAATCAATTTTATTTCTATATAGTAGCAATTAACAATCCAAAAATGAAAGAAAATCCTACTTATAATAGCATCAAAAGAATAAAATACGTAGCTATATATATATGTGTATATATATATATATTTTTTTTTTTTTGAGAAAGTCTCATTCTGTTGCCTAGGCTGGAGTACAGTAGTGTGACCTTGGCTCACTGCAACCTCCAACTCCTGGGTTCAAGCGATTCTTGTGCCTCAGCCTCCCGAATAGCTGGGACTATAGGCGCGCATCACCATGCCCGGCTAATTTTTGTACAATTAGTAGAGATGGGGTTTTGCCATGTTGGCCAGGCTGGTCTTGAATTCCTGACCGCAAGTGATCCTACTGCTTGGGCCTCCCAAAGTGCTGGGATTACAGGCATAAGCCATTGCATCCGGCCCCTAGCAATAAATTTAGCAAAAGAAGTGCAAGACTTGTATACTGAAAATTATATTGTTGAGAGAAATTAAAGATGATCTAAATAAATGGAAAGAAGTTATGATTCTTGAAATGTACCTTTTCAAGGGGCCCGTCATAGTAGAATTATGGATGGTAGTTCCAGTACTTGATATATGCTGATTATTACATGGAAAGATGGAGAAAACAGCTGATGCTTTTTCTGATGTGGGAAGATGCCCTTTAGAAATTTATTCACTTCATACATTTTGGGTGTTTAACTGCAATTAGCTAGAAGCTCTGAAATATCTTTTTATAATTCTGTCCACCATTTCTACAGAGCTGCAGTTGTTGGAGCTTCTGTAAATTTCCATGGTTGTTGGCAGGTCAGGACAAGGGTCATTTTTCTAGCTGTAACTTTGGCATTTAAGAGCACCCCTACCCAAGCCTGTAGCTTTTATGATCCAGGGTTGGGCTTAGCAAGTTTCATTCTTACTTTCAAACAAGGTACGTTGTTTTCCTTATTTTCAGTACTAGCTGATCAAACCTCTTAAGCTGTTCTGGGAATGTGGTATTGGTGCTTCTACTGTCGCTTCATTAAATGATGCTATTTGTACCATTATAAGTAATTTCTATGTTTAAGGGCAGAAATGGTTACAGGAGATCAGCAGGGGAGGAAAATTCAACTGATTGGTCTGAGGTGAGAGGCATACCAGAGATAGAAATCATGATGGCTTTCCCAGAAATTGGAAATGGCTAAAATTTTCAGTGTTCTTTCTCTTTTTGTATCTCTTGCCCATTGAATTCTCATAGTCTTTTAGTGCCCTTGTGTCTCTCCTTCTCTCTAGACAGTACTCATAATCTGGTTTTTATGCTTTACCTTACATGTAAATCTACACATCTCATATGGTGCTACAAAAAAAAACAGGAAAACAAAGTTCTGTGAAATCTGCTCTTTGCTTTATGTTAGTGCATAGACTGTGTATTGTGAAATACCTATATTGTATAAATAGTAATACTATCATAAAATACCTACATTTTATAAATAGTAATACTATGGTAAAATTTGATTCAGGAATATATTCCTGAAAAGTCATGTGATAATTCTTTGTAAATCAAATCTTGAATTCACTGGAGAACTTAATTTAAGGAACTCAGGTAAATCCGGTCATAGGGAAGAGCCCTTCTATAAAGTGAATACTCTATCCAAAATCCCTGTATCTATAAATTTGGTAACGGCACATCTTTTATTTCCTGAGATTTCTTTCAGTTGGAGCACACCCGTACTTGATCTTTAAGATAGTGCTGACATCCCTATTAGAACACATTAGCTTTCTTTTCCTCACTGCTGGGTATAATGATCTAGGGAAGGAAACATGAGCTTACAAGTCCTAGCCTATGTCATTATAGCTTATGGCTGGTTAACAGATTATATAATCAGATGTTTCCATGCCTAATGTCCAAACCTTGTTATGATATCTTCTGTGGGCTCCTTTTCGTAACACCCCATTCACTACTTCTGTGGCCCAGTTCATGTAGCTGTCAAATGCAGAGCTCTCTTGTGAGAACTGACTCAATGGCTTTTACAGATCAAGCTGGTGTGTTTATAACTGCATTATTTCCTCTATCAAAGAAGGAGACTGGAAAAAACAGAAATCTTTCTGTTATTTGACTTCATAGTTATATCAAGCAAGTCCTCTTGGACACTTACATGATAGAAACCGGGGTAGAAACCAGGAGACCTAGGTCTCTGCTTCAGTTTTTCATCTTACCAAAAACTCCCTAATCTTACCTGTCTCCTTCAGAGGAATGTTATCATGATAAGTTTAAAGATATTTATTAAAAATCCAAAGTTTTAACTATTGTAATTATGAAACTCACATTTTTTCTCTCATTAAGCCCCCAATTGTGATTTAATACATATAGCTAAATAAATAAGCTTCGTGCACATCTGCTTCTCTCCACATAAAATATACATGCACACAAAATACATGCACCTAATTGTGGGAAATCAGAAATTAGTTCCACATAATGGGTTTTCTTTTAACTACCCACTTGACATTTATAGTCCACTTTAAGGGCTCTGTGCCTAGAGTTGGCAGCTCTAGGAACAGTGAGATCAGTTTGTCTACAGTTGTTCCCAACCTTTTTTGGCTCTGGTACACCTACACTTGCTTCCAAAAATATACCCCACAGTCTGGTGCTCAATGGAATGAAAATCTTTCCTGAGCTAATAGGATATAAAACAGAGGAGGCAGTGGACATAGTTCTGCATTTTAGGGTACTCATAACAGCATAGTGAGCCAAACCAGTGACAATGATGTAATTGACCCAGCACAGAGAGAAAGAAGGTTTGGGCTGTTTCTTCAAAACTGGGATAGATTTATCAACCTACGCCTCCCAGATTGGCCTCCCTTATGACTTAGAATATGCTTTTGAAGAGCTGGCTGGCCAAGGGAAATGGTGCAGCCAGTAGTAGCATTAGAGTAAATGAAAACTAACTGGTTTGTACAAGGACTAAAATCATAGTTTTGGCCTCATTAGCACTATACTCTAACTTTCTGAGCTAACTAACTACAGATATTACCTGAAAGAAGACCAACCTTTAATCAGAAACAAAAATGTATTCAAGTATATGGCACAGATAAATCATTCAGTCTCAGTGACCTGTATCCAATGTTGAGCCTATTCCAAAGTTGCCATCTAATGAGGTGGAAAGATCCTTTATTTACCTGAACAGTTCTAAAAGTTTCATATTTTGTACTATTACACCCAATAATTAATGTTATCTCATGTGAATGGCTTGAGTTCCAACTATTTATACATTTCCTGCAATTAGTATGCATTTGAGAAATTTTTAGTAAATACTGCTATTATTTATTATTAAGCCTTGAATGGCAAGCAGAAATCTGAAGTTAATTGTTGTACCTTCTTTATGGATATATATCCCTCTTATAGTAAATCCACAGATAGGGATTCCTGGTCAAGGCATTAACAAGAGCTTAGTGACCTTCAAGATGCCTCCCAGAGGAGGCTGTCATAATCTCTTAAAGAAAATTTGTTAGTTGTCTGGAATAAAGTCCATAGTTACCAGTTGACTTGATCCACTTTATATGCTTTATTATTACTGTTATATTAAAGTACATCAGGCAAGACTAGTGGTTTAAGCTCCTCTCAATTTATGCCTTACCTCTGCCCCTTATGCCTTACCTTTGTCCTTAGTTTCCAGAAGAGTTTAAAGAGCCATTTTTACTAAATTCCAAAGACAGTACATGAAAGGCATTGAAACTAATGATTATCAGAAGAAAAATCCACTGAATTCTAGCAAAGACCAGTGAGGAAGTGAATGCAGCTTACTAGCATTCCAACTAAATTTAGTAGTATCAGTTGTATAAGAATCTGAGTGGGTAGTTGGATTAAATATTTGCAAATATGCTGAAAAAAAGATGAGTTTTATCTTGGTGATAATACAGTTATATTAAAGACAAGTTGGGGTAGAAAATCATATTGAGGTAAAGCTGTGGAATAATGTGGCTCTATGCAACTTACTTCCTTTCTCTTAGCCCTTGGTTTTGTTTTTCTTTTTTTTTTTTTTTGGAGATGAAGTCTTGCTCTGTCACCCAAGCTGGAGTGCAGTGGCACCATCTCGGCTCACTGCAACCTCCACCTCCTGGGTTCAAGCGATTCTTGTGCATCAACCTCCCGAGTAGCTGGGATTACAGGTGCGCACCACCACACCTGGTTAATTTTTTAATTTTTAGTAGAGACGGGGTTTTGCCATGTTGGCCAGGCTGGTCTCGAACTCCTGACCTCAGGTGATCCACCCACCTCGGCCTCCCAAAGTGCCAGGATTACAGGTGTGAGCTACTGCTCTCGGTCCCTTGGTTCTTATATTTAAACACTGACACTGAAAAATTAGGACTCTTACTACAGTTAAGACATCAGAAGAAAAAAGAAGGCAAAAGATCAATTAGTTTTAGATACAAACTTTGAGTTTGCACCTTCAATTTCCATTTAAAGTTGCCTGAGAAAAGATATCAGGATGGGTTTGGTGACAACAGAAAACAAATAGAAAGGCTTACTCTGGAGTCTATACTGTATTAGAAAATTCACCAATGCTAGAGACACTTGCCCTCCTCTAGCAAGGACTAGCTTCAGGAACGGTTCAGACATATCATAAAAATAGGTGTTGAGAAGAGCAATAAAAATGGGTTGTGTTTCTCAGGCTTTTGAAAAGATTCCATTAAATAGATGGAAAAATACATTAAAATACATAAAACACACTGAAAAATGTAGTACTGAGTATTATGACCAGTATTTCTCAAAACTGTGAAGGTCATCAAAATTAAAGAAAGTCTGAGAAATTGACACAGCCAAGAGGAGCCTAAGGAGACAACTAAATGCAATGTGGTGTCCTAGTGGGATCTGGGGACAGAAAAAGGACATTATGTAAACACTAAGGAACTATAAACTCTGAATAAACTATGGACTGTAATGAGTGATCATGTATCAATATTGGTTAATTGTAACAATGTTTCATACTCATGTAAGATGTTAACAATAGAGGAAACTGTGTGGGGTTTATGGAAACTCTACACTATCTGTGCAATTTTATTTATTTATTTATTTATTTATGTATTTATTTTGAGACGGAATCTCACTCTGTCACCAGGCTGGAGTGCAGTGGCACGATCTCCGCTCACTGCAACCTCCGCCTCCCGGGTTCAAGTGATTCTCCTGCCTCAGTCTCCCGAGTAGCTGGGACTACAGGCATGCGCCACCATGCCCAGCTAATTTTTTTTTTTTTTTGTATTTTTAGTAGAGACAGGGTTTCACCATGTTGGCCAGGATGGTCTCGATCTCTTGACCTCGTGATCCACCCGCCTCGGCCTCCCAAAGTACTGGGATTACAGGCATGAGCCACCGTGCCTGGCCTATCTGCTCAATTTTTCTATAAATCTAAAACCATTCTTAAAAAATGTTAATCAAAATTTTAAAAAGGGTTATTTTGTCAGACCATTTGAAATGATTCCATTAATGAAAAATTCCTAATATGAGGGCCCAGCTCATGGGCCTGGATCCAGGGCAGTTGGAGGCTTCAGCCATCAGATGATAACTAGACAAGAGCTCCGCACCCCCAACAATAACCCAGGTCAGAAAGCTGCAAATCCAGACACCCAAAATCCCTTCAGAGAATTTCAGTGAGAACAATGGATGATTAAGACAATAAGCAAAGTCTGTTTAACTTTCTTTCTCCTGAACAACCCTACAGCTCTCAAGCACATTGTGGACAGCAGGTTTCTCAAGCAGTGAAATCCCCATGTACAAAAGCAGAGCTAATGATTCCCGTGGGGTCAAACAAGCCCAGAGGAACCGCATCCTTCAGCAGCTGCCCACCCCTCCTGAGAAGGAAAGAGCTGATATGGGAGCAGAGGCCTGACTGGGGCTTTAGTGACTCCTAGCTCTGGCTTTACAACATACACTCTTGTCTGACACTATCATTTATACAAATAAGGCACACAAACTCCAAGTCTGACTCTTTTCCTCCTCTTGCCTAAAGATTCTTTAAGACTAAGGATCATGAGTGTTATCTTTATCAGCCAGGTTATGAACTCTGAAGAATGGTTTCTTAATGGAAATACTAACCACTGTTAATTAGCAAAACAAATTTCAAGATGAAAAGTCTGTTGATTCTAAATATTCATTATTTCATTCTTTTATTCAAATTATAAACATTTATTGAAGACCTATTATGAGTCAGATACTGGACTGGTGAAAGAAAATGGTGCAGAATGCTCTGACCTGATGAAACAGTTTAGATGAACATAGATCAATAAATAGAAACGAGAATGACGTTAATAGAATTTCATTAAGCGGAGAACATACTTGATTTAACCTTGCACTCCCTCTAGTGGTTTTTTTTTTTGTTAAAATGTGAAGCTTATATAACAGCCCACAGTCTAGTAATGTTCAATATGCTGGAATCTCTGACATCCTGACTGCTTGACTTTGTGAGCACTGTAATCTCTGACTGCCACGTGGAACCTCTCACCTTCTCTCTCTCCCGGTCCTGATAATTTGATATCTGTCAAGATATTACCACTGATTCATTCAACAAATATTTATTGAGAATCTATCTTGAGAAGGCATTAACTAATCATTCCAATTTAATAACTTTATTTCCCAAACATTTTAACATTCAGTAAGTCAACTGGTAACACTATGATGGACAGTCTCTTAAAGGGTTGGGAATTAACATTTCCTATTCATCTCTGTCCTGCCCATCTACTGCAACTTTCACGCTTGTCCATTCCCCAACAATACGAGCTGGGGCCTTGTATGAGGGCTTACTATGTGCCAGGTAGAGTTCTAGGCAGTGAAGCTATAGTAAGGAACAAAACAGACAAAACTTCCCTTCCCCATGAAGCTTATGCTCTAGTGGTGGCGGGAGGGTGAAACAAAATAGATATAATTAACAAGTAGATTAGGTAATTTTTCCAATTATCAATGGTATGGAGAACAGTAAAACAGGAAAAGGATGACAGGAGGCTTTTTTTTTTTTTTCTCGTGCGCAAATTTTTTAAAAATGTGGTTAGGGAAGGCCTCAGTGAGAAAGTGTTATTTGAGCAAAGACTTGAAGGAAGTGAAGGGACATCCTTGGGGGAAAAGCATTCCAGGCAGTGGGAATAGCAAGGGCAAAGCCCTAGAGGTGGGAACATGCCTGGTATGTCCAAGGGGCACAATGAATCCAGTGCCTGAAGAACAGTGAGGGAAAGCAGAGAATAGCAGTTTTACCAGGGAGAGGAGAAAAGGGGATATTGTGCAGGGCCTTGTAGGCCATGGTAGGGACTTCGGCTTTTACTCTGAGTGGAACAGGGAGCCAGTGCAGTGTTTTGAGCAGGGGAGTGACAGGATCTAATTTGTTTTAAAAGGGTAATTTTAATGTTGTGTGGAGAACAGACCAAAGGGGGCAAGGCTAGAAGCAGGAACGCTAGCTGGGAGGCTGTTGCAATAATCAGTGAGAGAGGTGATCATGGTTTGTACTAGAGTTATAGTGCTAGAGGTAGTGAGAGGTGGTCAGATTCTGGATGTATTTTGAAGACAGAGTTGACAGGGTTTTTTTACAGATTGAATTTGAGGTGTGAACGAAAGGAGTCAAGGGCAATTCTGATATGTTTGACTTAAACAACTAGAAGAATAAGATTGCCATATGGGAGGGAAAGATTGCAAGTTCAGCTTTGGACATATTAAGTTTAGGATGTCAATCAGACACCCACCAACCAATCTACTCTCTACCACCTTCTCCTGCCTATACATTTTACCCACTCAGATTTCTCTCTGTCACAAATCCTTTGATACTTCTATGTACTTTTTGGTATGTTATTTCCAGTCTTAGTTATAATATTTCCATCTACTTAACAAGAAACTGGGTATTTTTGACATATCCCTTCTCTTCACCCCCAACAGCCAATTGATCACCATGTCCATTCTGTCAATTATACTTCCCAAATTACTCTCAAGTGCTATCCTTTCTTTTCACATCTGCTGTCATTAATTTTGTTCATACTTTCCCAATCTCTACTTTGGTCACTGAGCATAACAGTCTGATCTTTTTCCTTTATCAGTGAGAATGGGTAGAGTGATCCAGCTGATCTGGGGTCAGGAAGTGAGGGTGGAGGCAAGTAATTTACTCCCAGTCCTGGTACCTTGAACTGAAAGTGAATATACATCATTTTCACACTTTGAGGCTTAGCCTGGAGTTGGTGCTACTGTAATCACTCCATTACCACCCAGCTCAGAATAACATTTAAGAGAGATTGCTGAGGTTGAGCTGAGAAAGCATACCTATAATCAGATTATATCAAGGTCCCTTTGAGTGGTCCACCCAACTACGTCTTGGTCAACAACTTTCCCAGAGAATGAGGCGGTGGACCAACCATGATGCTGCTGGAAATCTGGCACCTCTTTCATGACATAACTGGTCTCTTAGCCTTAGGTTTGCTGGGGCTAATTGCAGAGACAAGGTAGTCAAAGTACACCAAGGAGTACTGAAAAGACTGGATGAGTGATCATGCGGAGGAAGGGCGTGAAGTTCAAGGAGCTGCTGCTGTAGGAGGTCTATGGGCAGATGACTGAATTTCACTTCAAAGGTTTATAAAGAGTCCTTCAATTTTTGGCATGGGCAGATGAGTCTGTGCCCAAATGAAATCTCACTGATGTCTCACACCTGAATGATTCAGTTAGTGTAATTCATATACAATTTAAGAGCAAACACTTTTTGGTGCTCAGTATGTGCCAGGCACTATTCTACGTGCTTTACACATATTAGTTCATATCATATCACACTGTTTTTTGAGGTAGGTAGTATTATCATCTCCCTTTTATAGTCAGGAACTTGAGGAAAAGAGGGTTTAAGTTGTTCAAGTTGACATAGAAAGTGATAGTGCTGGGATTCAAACCCAGGCAGTGTGACTTCAGAGTTCCTGCTTTTAACCCCTGTGCTATGTTGTATGCTGAAGGCTAACTGGCTATGTCCTTGTGTAGTCCATACTTGGTTTTGGTTGACCCAGGTATTGGCAGACTCTGGAGTGTTGATGGTTTCAGTAACTAGCCAGGGCAATAGTGGGCTAGAAACGATTGATGCCTTGAAGGGAAGAGGCCTGGATGGAGGGGTATAGTGAGTTAAGAAATGCATTCTGAGGAGTCTGGGGAGGAGAACCAATGTGTTATGTGTTAGAGTAGCAGTAGCATTCTCCGCCAGTACGTGGTTAATGCATATGGCTGTGGCTGGAGAGCAGGTGGCCGTGGGACTTGTGAAAGGGAAGACCTTTTAGATGAACAAGGCACCAGTAGCTGGTGTGAATTGGGCCAAGAGGGTAAGAGGGATCAATCACTGATTTGAAGGTGTTCTAGATGTGAATCTACAATAGAGTTCATTGGGACAATGTCCCAATGTCCCGAGAGCCTGAAGGATACCTTGGTCTTTCTACTTCAACTGTAGAAATCATAAAGGCATACTACAGGTTAGGTCAGACAGGAGACAACTGAAAGACCACTTAGATGAAGAGTTATCAAAATGTGCTGTGTATCAGAATCACCTGGGTAGGCATTGGTTAAAAATGAATATTCTTGGGCTCCACCCCTAAAGGGTCTGATTCCGGAATCATCATTTTAGGATTAAGATGCAGGTGGTCTGCAGACTACATTATGAAACACGCTCCATCAGATTACAAGCATATTTGAATACCTGTGTGGGCTTCTTGGAGTGGTGCTAATGGGCACAAGTGACTGCAGATCCTATTAGAATGGGGCACATGGAACAGAAACTTCTGGGCTGCGCCATGATGAACCAGGATCTTTACGTTCTACACGTGCATCTGCCTGTTACCTATGCTGTGACTGGGGTAAATGGCTGTGACATTCTCAAGCTGGAACCATTTCCACTTCCCCTTAAGATTCTGAATTCTGAAACAGGATGGGTGCGAGTATGCCCTGGCTGGTCCAGGCTGTAATGGTTTGAGCTCATGACCACAAGCTGCCTGTCTCTCTGAAAGGAAGTATGTCCTGTCTTAAAAGTGGCCTTGATCGCTAAGAGCTCTCATTTGCACTTGGAGTAATTGACCTTGGTTAGGACCAACTTCTTGGAGAAGTGGGGACAGGGGCAGAGATCAAAGTACCCAGGTTCTCCTGCGACAGGACAATATCCCACTCCCCACACCTGGATGTTGAAGGCATTAGTCAACAGTATAGGCCAGGGCTGGGGTAGAAATAAGCAAGACTTTAAGCTACTGGAAGGTCATTTTTTTGTGTGACAGGGAACCAAATTCCTTTCTCTTAAGGAGATCGAATATTGGGGTAGTGAAAATGTACAGGTGGTAGATGGATTGCTGGTGGTATCAAGGGATTGCTGATGTTTTCAATCTTCCTAGGAGACTTCATTTCAAAAAGGCTTACATGTTACCCAGCACTATATAAACTCTGGCATAACAGAATGTAGCCCAGAAACACGATTTTTACACTTTGGGGCTTGGCCTGAAGTTGGTACTACTGTAATCGCTCTAATACCATCCAGCCCAGAGATTCTGTCAAGTCACATTAAGCGAATTTCTCAAAATATTGCCCAAGAACTATGGAATTGATTTAGAAGGTTCCAGACTAATTTTGGATAGTGATTACACTAAGGATGGGATAATTATGACAAGGAAGAACTCCCTCCTTTTTATTTTCAGAAAGAGTCTCAAGGCTAATATGGAAGAGGTGGAGGAGGAATCAAGATGCTGTCCAAAGTTTTTGTTTTGTAGAAGGCCTTGATTTTAGACTCAGAGAGAATCTGCTCCTTTGGTAGTAAGGCAAGTCCTGGTTATCAGGGCTACCACATAGTCATCCTCATCAATTAGGGGCGGTCGCTCTGTCTCTTGGTAGATAGTATCTTTATTTGCCTTATAGGTATGAGTTGGATCCTAGCAGTGTGAGGGGTGGGTTGAACAGGGAATTCTCTGTGTTGTTTTGGGTGGGGTAGAAGGTCATTGGAAATGCTGGTAGCAAAATTCTGACAAAGTGAAGGATGTGAGTCTTGAAGGCAGTAGAGAATAGTCTATTCTCAGCAAGGAATGGCATATGGACAAAGGGTAGTGGGTGACAAACAATATCAAGGCTGACCTCAGCTGCACAGGCAGTTAGACTTGCTGGACCAGGAACCTGTCTGAGAGGTTGCCTAAGAACTCCTGAGTATAACCTAGTCTGGATATAATAAATGACTTTTATCAAATGCTTGCTATGAGCCAGGCTCTTGCTAAGCTCTTTAACTGCAATTATCACATTTAATCCTTATAACCCTATAAGGTACATACTATTGTTATCTCCATTTTATAAATGAGGACACTGAGGCACAGAGAGGTAGTAATTGATGGAGCTGGGATTCCCTGTGCCACACTTCACCTGTGACATACCATCTTCCCCATTTCTATAGGAATTTTAGGAACACCCCTCACCCACTAGAGGCTAGTGGTAGGGATGCCATAGGGACAAAGCATGTCCTAGCTCGTTCCTATGCTGGTGGCTGGCCAGGCAGTTTTCTGATGAAGGGGCTAGTGCCTTATGGGTTGGACATGTATTGACAGAGAATGATCTGGGCTACTATGGTAAAGGCCTGTTGGTTTTGTCTAGTGATGTGCCTGTTCTACAGGTGCCAGCACAGAACAGTTGTGAATAGCAAGTACAGAGACATGCCCCCCACAGGTAAGGAGGGGTTTCCCTTGGTGTTGAGGCAATGTTGCTGATACTGAATCCAGATCTCCATTTTCATGCAGTTATTTATTTGTTTATAAAGGCTGGAGCTGGGGTGGTGTGGATAGAGGAGGAGGTTTGGCTACTTGGTTAACAAGTTACACTGTGCACAGAGCCCTTTGGGGAACTGGAACTGTAGTGTAATTCACTACCATTTACTCTCTCTGAGGCAAAAAGGGTGAAGCTCTTGGTATACAGCTCTAGTAGCTTTGATTCTAACTGCTGGGTGGGTGGTAACTAAGAGCTGGAGGTCTAGTTCTACATTCTTCCTGTAGAGCTTGCCAAGACAAACAGCATAGAGCTTTATGGCTCTACCATTTACTGCCCCCAGGTGGAAGTCCCAGAAACCAATAGCATTCCATGGGAGAGTAATTTCTCCCTCTCTTAGCAGGGAAGCAGGACAGAGGGGACCTAACTGGCATAGATCCTATGTTGCTGGACAGAAGGCTGAAATGTTATGGGACAAGAGGGTAAATTACAGAATTGTTGGGGGAAGAAGGATGTGGTCATGTTAGAGATGTGGGTCTTAAATGGATTATCAGTAAGATGAAGGAAGATATTGGGAACTGAGATGCAGAACCAAACAGAATAAGACACTAGAAAAGGCTGGTGGAAGGGTGAAGACTAGCCAGTCAAAGTAACCAAGCAAGATGTGATCTAGACACATTCTGGAGGTTAGGAGTCACCGTGCTGGGTGAAATGAATAATGTCATGGATAGGGTTAGTTCCATGTAAGGGAATTTACATGGAACAAGATGACTTCCTAAGACACTGATGACAGAAGGCAGAATCAAAGGATTCAAAGAGGTCTGTGAACAAGTGACACAAGGCAAGAGGACAACATAGAGAAGCAGAGGCCACTGGACAGGCACTTCATCAGTGTGCTAGCAGGCAACCCCCACACTCCTTTACCACACTCATTCTTGACTTCTTTCGCTCTGGCTTCACAAGAGATGCTTCTCTAAAAGACATTCACCTCACTCTCTCCTGCCACCTCTAAGACTTTGCTCCATCTCTTATCTTTTTCATATTTCCAATATTTCCCCTTCAGCTCCTAAATGTTCTTAATCTAAATGTTCCTAATCTCTTAAAACAATACCAACAAACCACCCCTCAACCCTTACTTTCCCTTGACCACACCCCTCCTCTTTTCTTTATCATTCAAACCTCTGGACAGACACAGTAGCTTTCCTTTCCTATTTCGTTAGTTCCTACTCACTCCTCAATGGTTTGAGGTATACTTCCATCACTTTCTACAAAGTTCTCTGACCAAGGTCATTAATGACCATCTTAATTGTCAAATACGATTCACACTTCAGTACCTATCTAGATTACCTCTTTGTGGTACATTAAACTGTTGAGAACTCTTTTCTTCCTTAAGCTCTTCTGCCCCCTTGGGATTCCATAACCCCTTTCTATTTTGATTATATGGCTAGACTTGATTGTTGCTTTTCAGCTGAATCAACTGGAGCCTCTTCTGCTTGCCCATTACAAGTTGGTGCCTCTTGGGGTTCTAGGCTCTACTTTCATTTTCTCCTTATTATCTACCTTTTCCCTAAGTAATCCCATCCATTTTCATGGTTTTCACCACCACTTGATATACTGGCAACACATCTATCTCCAGTTCCAGCTTCTACTTCCATTTCCAAATCTGGATATCAAATTTCCCTATATATTACCTCTGATGCACACCACCACCTATTCCTATTTATTGAGGTAGTGTAGTAAGTGTAGCACAGTGGTTAAGTAGCCAGCTTGAAGAATCAGATTGCCTGGGTTTGAACCCAACTTGGTCACTTACTAAACTTCAGCAAGTCATTTAACCTCTCTGTACTTCCATGTATAAAACAGAGATAATAATTTGTACCTACTGCTTAGTGTTCCTCTGAGGATAGATGAGAAAAATGCACATAAGGTAGCGCCTACTATATAGCTCAACATAGGTTAGCTATTGTTATTCCCATTTTGCTTGGGACTCCACTTAGGCAAGCCAGAAACCTGAGTTATCTTCCTCATCTTTCATCTCCTCCCACATCTAGTTAATCATCAATACTTGCTTTTATCTCTTAAAGCTGTCTCAAATCAGCCTTCACCATTCCCCGTCCCCTAATCTCATTGCTTTGCCTAAGTTCAGGTCTTCATTTTTCAGTGGGACTGTGATACCTTAAGCGGTCTCCCTACGTTCAGCCTATGCCTCTTGCAATCCATCTGCTATAACTGCAATCAGAGTTATTTTCCTACAAACATCTAACCGTGTTACTTCCTAACACAATTTTTCAGTGGCTCCCCATTTCCTATAGCAGAGTTTCTTAAAATTCATATAACAGAATTATTCCTAGAGTTTGAAAGTGCAGGTTCCTATGTACTACCCCAAACCTACCAAATCAAGATGTCTGAGAGAGACCCAGAAATCTACATTTTAAAATTCGGTGATTCCAATATACATGAAGTGCTTCATGACCCATTTCCTGTGTTTCTACCTCTTCTTCTGCCATTATCTACTTTATACCTTAACCCTCCAGCAATATTGAGCTATGTGTAGTTTCTCAAATCTGCCAAACTATATTACATTGCTCTGCTTTTTATTTTACATTATTTTATTTCTGCCTTTTTATTTTATATTGCCCTACTTTTAAAAATGTTGTTCTGGCCTTCTGGAATACCCCTACCCTGCCACCTCCTTGTCTCACTGGCACATCCCTTTTCATCCTTTGAAGACATCTTCATCATCACCTCCTTACTGATAAATCTTACGTCATCTCTATAGCACTGTTTCTCAACCATTTCTCTTCTCTCTCTCTCTCTCTCTCTCTGAGACCAGATCTTGCTCTGTCACCCAGGCTGGAGTGCAGTGGTGCAACCTCAAACTCCTGGGCTCAAGTGATCCTCCCACCTCAGCCTCCTGAGTAGCTAGGACTACAGGCATGCACCACCATGCCCAGCTAATTTTCTAATTCTTTGTAGAGATGGAGTCTCACTATGTTGCCCAGGCTGTCAAACATTTTTTCATTATCATGTCCCACCTCTACTGAAAGAGCCTTTTTAGATACCTTTTCCTAATTGACCCCCCCATAACATTTTAATACTGCAGATATACTGTACATCTGTTTATGTACTGTGGTACATTGGAGGACTGTAAACCATCATAAAATATAAGTTTTTTTCACCTCCTTCTACCAAGAATAAATTTTTGTTCCCTTGGGGCCAATATCACTTCTGTTGCAGATGCATGCGCTACAGTATCAGACATTGCTATTCAAACTGGTCTTCCTGAGGTTCACCCTTGGTTTCTATGATGTCTTTTCTGATTCTCTTTCTTTTTGACCATTCCTTTTCAGGATTCCTTTGGAGGCTTTTCTTTTTCCACCCCGTTTTAAACACTGGAGTCCCATAAGTCTCAGTATTTGTTTGTTCCCCCCCCGCCTTATTATTCTATATATGCTTCCAAGGTGATTTTATTGATTTCCTTAGTTTTAATACAATCTATAATGCTGTTGACTTTCAAATCTCTATCTTCAGTGAAGGTGATTCTCCTGAGCTCCAGTCTCTTGCTGTTTCAAGTATGTTCCACAGACTGGCAGCATATATTACCTGGGAGCTTGTTAGAAATGCAGATTCCTAGGTTCCATCTCAGACCTACTGAATTAGAATCCGCATTTAAACAAGAATCCCAGAGGTTTCATATACACATCAAATGTAGAGAAGTCCTGGTCTGGGCCCTATTATCAGCTCTCTAATAGACATCTTCAATTAGATGTTCCATAAGCACATGAATCTTCACCCCATAGGCTTCTTAGTTAATGGCAACATAATTTAATCATCTATACAAGAAATCTAGACCACCCCTTCCTTATCATTTATATCTAATTGGTCTTCTTTACTATCTATTGTATCTACTAAATGGCTCTTGAATTTATTCTCTCCTCTATGCTCATCACCGCTGCTTTCATCTCTTCTTGGAAATATTATCAAAATAATGTCCTCACAGATTTCTCTATGGACAGTCACTGTCCCTCTGGTTTAACGGCCAACTATTGCTAGAGTCATATTCCTAAAATGCATGTCTGACAACGTTACTTCTTCCTGGCTAAAAATTCTTTCAGTGACTTCTCACTGTCTAAAGCTGAAGTTCTTAATCTAGGACCCATACATGGGCTTCAGGAAATCCTTATACTTTCTGAAACTACAAGGAGAAATTTGTGTATGTAGATTTTCTAGGGGATGTATATGCATTCTTTAGGTCAGTGGTTCTAAACCTTTTTTGGTCGTGGAAAATTCAGTGGGGTCCACAACCAAAGAAGGTTAAGAACCACTGACTTAAAGGATCAAGTCCAAGCTGTTTAGCTTGGCATTCAAGGACTCTTTATACCTCTCCAAACTTATCTCTGGCCATTTATCTATAGGAACCTATGGTTCCAGCTTTAATGACAAACTTGGAAGTCCCCCCCACCCCACCAACTTTCACACCTCTAAGCATCTGCACATGCTGTTCCTGGAATAATCCTGAGGTTACACACATAACTAGTAAGTGGTGGAGCCTGAATTTACATCCAGGTCTTACTTTAATGTTCACAGTCATTCTACTCTACAGTGGCTTGACATTTCACACTGTGACCTAGTACATACAAACACACACACAAACACATACATACATGCACACACACACACACACACCCCAGAACAAGTTTCACGAAACCCACCTTGATATGAAAGAAAGCTCATTGTAGCCCACTAAATTGATATAATGTCCATCAACAAGTTGCAGTCCCTGGTTTGAAAAACACTGCACTAGACCTTTGCTGAAATAGGCAGATCTTATTACTGAGAATTTATTATCTTAGCCCCAGCAGTACCCAGGCTTTGAGGTTTTCTAAGGATACAAAAGCTGTCGTAACCCTACCCCTTCCACTATTACTCTAAAATTCTGGTCCCCCTTTTAAATAAATTCACTAATGGCCTTTTGTGCAGTACCAACTGCCCTCAAGTGTTTGCTAATGAACTGACCACTTATAGCAGTCCCAGCTCAAAGAACCCACTCCTTTAAATACCAGAATCTAACCCCATCCATCTGTTCAGTCATTTTGTCTCTCATGGATCGTCAGGTATATCAGTTAGCAATTCAATGCAAATCTGTCAGAAAGTAAAATTACAAATCTTATAAAAAGATGCTGGAAATCTTGAAGTCAGCGCACACACACACACACACACACACACACACACACAAAACTGATGAGGATCTGGTAGAACAGTCCACAATTGAAGAGGAGAAAAATAAATATGAATAATGATTTTAAAAGTGGTTCAAAACAGAATGATTTGAATACCAAGTGATTAAAGAAAAGCCTTTGGGAACACTAATGAAGTCCTTGAATATTTTGGCAAAATCAGCCCTCTTAAAGATCATGCTACAAATATCTCACAGGAAGTGAAACACACCATCTTGAAATATCATGCAATTTTGTTTGAAAAATTAGGCACAAAACAAAAGCCATGAATCTTTTATATATTTTTTGTTTTAAGAATTAGTGCATTGTTATATCTAGCACTCAATTTTATTAAATGAGACAAAATATGTATATTTTAATAGCTTTTAGTTATTCAAGCTAGCATCCTAATCAAACCCTACCCCTTCCACTATTACTCTAAAATTTTGGTCCCCCTTTTAAATAAATTCACTAATGGCCTTTTGTGCAGTACCAACTGCCTTCAAGTAATAAGAACCTCCTGTATAACTCTTTGTTTCCTCAGTGCCAGGCATACAGAAGGAGTTTAATAGATGTTCGTTAATTGATTGATTGTGAAAGCCTCCCCTGCCTCCAGTCTCAGTTCCCTCCAATCCAACCAGTACATTTTCAGCCCTCCCTAAAATTCTTTAGTAAATTCCCATCAAGCACAGAAAAAAGTCCAATTCCTCAGCATAGCTTATAAAACCTTTATAATCTGACCTTGTCCTATTTGCCCTCAGACTCTGGCCACATTTCACTACTTGTGGTTCTACAAATGTTCTGTATTTTCTTGGTGCCAGAATTTCATTATTTCCTCTGCTTGGAATTTTCTATCCCCACCAATGGGAAAGCAAATTCCTATTCCTTCTTCTGGACACCACACTACCTTGTATATAATGTTAACACTCTGACCACACTGCATTATAACTACTTCCTGCCTTGTTTCCAGCAGTTTTTATTATAAAAAGTTTTATTTATAAAAGTAATACAATCACGTTAGAGAAAATATAGGAAACAGAAAAGATGTGAGTATATTATATAAGTGTGTACATATAAAAATATAGGGCTGGATGCTGTGGCTCACGCCTATAATCCTAGCACTCTGGGAAGCTGAGGTGGGAGGATCACCTGAGGCCAGGAGTTCGAGACCAGCCTAGGCAACATAAGGAGACCCCATCTCTACAAAAAAAAAAAATTTAAATTTAGCCAGGTGGCCCGGGCACAGTGGCTCACGCCTGTAATCCCAGCACCTTGGGAGGCCGAGGCAGGTAGGTCACCTGAGGTCAGGAGTTCGAGACCAGCCTGGCCAACATGGCAAAACCCCATCTCTACTAAAAGTAAAAAAATTAGCCAGGCGTGGTGGCATGTGCCTGTAGTCCCAGCCACTCGGGAGGCTGAGGCGGCAGGAGAATCACTTGAACCCAGGAAGTGGAGGTTGCAGTGAGCTGAGATTGCACCATTACACTCCAGCCTGGGCAACAAGAATGAAACTCCGTTTCAAAAAAAAAAAAAAATTTAGCTAGGTGTGGTGGTGTGTGGCTGTGGTCCCAGCTACTTGGCTGAGGTGAGAGGATCACTTGAGCCCAGAAGGCTGCGGCTGCAGTAAACCATGATTGCACAACTGCACTCCAGCCTAGGTGACAGAGTGAAACTCTTGTCTTAGAAAAAAAAAAAAATATATATATGTATGTGTATATATACGTATATATACATATATATATATGTGTATCACATACCCAATATCACCATCCTCACAAAGCCACTGTTAACATTGTGTTTTATTTCCCTCTAAGATATTTTCATATGCATATATTCTTTACAGGACTCTAAGTGAATATATGAGGTTTAGCCAACTGCCCTTTAAAAACAAAATCAACATTATAAGATAAGCATTTTTTCTATTTATGCAGTTGTACTAGCCACCCTATTTATTTATTTATTTATTTTGAGATGGCATCTCCCTCTGTCGCCCAGGCTGGAGTGCAGTGGCATGATCTAGGCTCACTGCAGCCTCCTCCTCCCAGGTTCAAGTGATTCTCCTGCCTCAACTTCCTGGGTAGCTGGGATTACAGGCTCATGCCACCATGCCCAGCTAATGTTTTGTATTTTTAGTAGAGACGGGGTTTCACCATGTTGGCCAGGACAGTCTCGATCTCTTGACCTTGTGATCCGCCTGCCTCGGTCTCCCAAAGTGCTGGGATTACAGGTGTGAGCCACCGCGCCTGGCCAATAGCCACCATTTTTAATGGTTTTATAATATCCCTTCAAGTGGATATGTTGCAGTATACTACCTAACCCACTGTTGTTGAATATTTGGGTCTCCCTCCTGCCCCTTTTTTGGCTACTATAAGTAACAGAGAAAGTACCATCTTCACAAACACATCTTTACCATATTTTGGGTCGGTTTACTTCCTTAGAATAGATTACCAAGAGTAATAGATGTTATCAAAGATCTTCCTTTGTTTGGCTCATATTGGTAGGAGGGAAAAATATATATACAATCCCTTGATATCTGTGGGTGATTGGTTCCAGGACCCCTGCAGATACCAAAATCCATGCACACTCAAATCCCACAGTTGGCCCCATGGAACCCGCAGATGATAAAAGTCAGCCCTCTGTATATGTGGGTTTTGCATTCGGTAAATACTGTATTTTGTATCTGTATTTGGTTGCAGATGCAGAACCTGCTGATACGGAGGGCTGACTGTATTTATAGAAAAAAATCTGCATATAAATTAATCCCCACAGTTCAAACCTGTGTTGTTCAAGGGCTAACTGCTAATATTTCAATTCCTCTATTTATTAGTGATACTAAATATTTTTTCATGCTTGTTTAATGTTTCCTCTTTTGTGAATTGTCTATTTGTGTTTTTTGTTCATTTATCTGAGTATTAGTGTTTAAAAAAATCAATTAGAACAGTTAGAGATTTTAACCCTTTGTTACATTTGCTGTAATTTTGGGGATTCTCTTTTTATCTTGGTAAAATTTTAGCTACAAAATAATATCATATCATTACAGAAATTTTGAAAACTAGAGAAAAATATGTTTAAAAAATCATCAATAATTCTGCCTACTAATATGGTGGCTAGGAGGCAGGACTAGCTTACAGCTCCTGCTCGGATGGACAGAGCAGCATGTGGAGACTCACATCATGAACTTTTGCTCCTAAAACTACCCCAGGAACATACCAGGGAAGCCAAGAAAATCCACAGACCCTTTGAAGGAACTGGATCACTGCTGCAGGCTCCCTGAGATGCCAAACAACTGTAAGTTGGCTTGCTTTCTCAACAGGGAGGCTCATGGTCTGGGGCAAGTTCTCAGCCCTGGTCACTGGCTGCCTGGAAATAGACTCAGTGCTGTTTGGAGCGGGTAGGGCGGGGGGAGCGGGGAGGGCGGGGAGGGCGGGGAGCGCGGGGAGCGAGGCACAGTGGGAGTGAGACCGGCCTCTAGGACTGCAGGCTGCATGGGAGCGGGGTGAAGCCTGTGACTGCCGGCTTTCCCTCACTTTCCTGGAGACCTGTATGACTCAGCAGAGGCAGCCATAATCCCCCTGGGAATGTAACTCTACTGGACTGGGAACCACACCCCCGTCCCCCACAGCAGGCCCCACCCAAGGAGACTCTGAGCTCAGACACACACCTACCCCTGCCTCCACCTGGTGGTCTTTCTCTACCTGCCCCAATAGACAAAGACAAAGGTCATAATCTCTTGGGAGTTCTATGGCCCTGCCCGCTGCCTGAGAAACCTGAATACTTAAACAGGTGTCCCCAGGGCAAGTTTGCATCCTCCCTATAGGACCACAGCTGATGCGTTCTTGAAGGCGCCACCTCCTGGCTGGAGGCCAACCAACACAAAACCGGTGCACTTAAGAAAAACACAACTAAGGACCCTCCACTTCACTCCCCTGCTACCTCCACTGGAGCAACTGCAAGACCTGAAGACAGATCACATCACAGCACTCTTTACAGACACTCCCCAGTACCAGGCCAGAGCTGGGTAGCTCTGCTGGGTGGCTAGACTCAGAAGAGCAAAAACAATCGCTACAGTTTAGCTCTTAGGGAGCCCCATTCCTAGGGGAAGGAGGAGAACAACACATCAAAGGAGCACCCCGTGGGACAAAAGAGTCTGAACAGCAGCGCTTGAATCCCAGATCTTCCCTCAGATACAGTCTACCCAAATGAGAAGGAACCAGAAACAGAATTCTGGTAATATGACAAAACGAGGTTATTTAACATCCCCAAAAGATCATACCAGCTCACCAGCAATGGATCCAAACCAAGACAAAAATCCCTGAATTGCCAGAAAAAGAATTCAGAAGGTCGATTATTAAGCTAATCAAGGAGCCACCAGAGAAAGGTGAAGTCCAACTTAAAGAAATCAAAAACATGATAAAGGATATGAAAGGAAAATTATTCGGTGAAATGGAGAGCATAAATAAAAAACAATCACAACTTCTGGAAATTAAGGACACACTTAGAGAAATGCAAAATGCACTGGAAAGTCTCAGCAATATAATTGAACAAACAGAAGAAAGAACTTCAGAGCTCAAAGACAAGGCTTTTGAATTAACCCAATCTGTCAAACACAAAGAGAAAAGAATTTTAACAAATGAACAAAGCCTCCAAGAAGTTTGGGACTATGTTAAATGTCCAAACCTAAGAATAATTTGTGTTTCCAACGAAGAAGATAAATCTAAAAGTTTGGAAAACATATTTGAAGGGATAATTAAGGAAAACTTCCCCAGCCTTGCTAGAGAGCTCGACATCCAAATACAAGAAGCTCAAAGAATACCTGGGAAATTCATTGCAAAATGATCATCACCTAGGCACATAGTCATCAGTTACCTAAAGTCAAGACGACGGAAAGAATCTTAAGAGCTGTGAGGCAAAAGCATGAGGTAACCTATAAAGGAAAACCTATCAGATTAACAGATTTCTCAGCAGAAACCTTACAAGCTGGAAGGGATTGGGGTCCTATTTTTAGCCTCCTTAAACAAAACAATTATCAACCAAGAATTTTGTATCCACTGGAAACTAAGCTTCATAAATGAAGGAAAGATATGGTCTTTTCCAGGCAAAAAAAATGCTGAGAGAATTTGCCACTACAAAGCCAGCACTACAAGAATTGCTAAAAATAAGCATAAATCTTGAAACAAATCCTCAAAATAAACTGAAATAGAAGCTCCTTAAAGCATAAATCTCACAGGACCTATATAACAACAATACAATTTATAAAAACCAAGATATTCAGGCAACAACTAGCATGATGAATAGAATAGTACCTCAATCTCAATACTAACATTGAACGTAGCCTAAATGCTCCACTTAAAAGATACAGAATGGCAGAATGGATAAGAATTCACCAACCGAGTTTCTGCTATCTTCAGGAGACTCACCTAACACATAAGGACTTACATAAACTGAAGGTAAAGGGGCAGAAAAAGATATTCCATGCAAATGGACACCAAAAGCAAGCAGGAGTAGCTATTCTTATATCAGACAAAACAAACTTTAAAGCAACAGCAGTTAGAAAAGACAAAGAGGGACATTATATAATGATAAAAGGACTAGTCCAACAGGAAAATATCACAATTCTAAATATATATGCACCTAACACTGGAGCTCCCAACTTTATAAAACAATTACTATTAGACCTAAGAAATGAGATAGACAGCAACACAATTATAGTGAGGGACTGTAATACTCCACTGACAGCACTAGACAGGTTATCCAGACAGGAAGTCAACAAAGAAACAATGGACTTAAACTATACTCTCGAACAAATGGACTTAACAGAGATTTATAGAACATTCTACCCAGGCTGGGCGCGGTGGCTCACGCCTGTAATCCCAGCGCTTTGGGAGGCCGAGACGGGTGGATCATGAGGTCAGGAGATCCAGACCATCCTGGCTAACATGGTAAAACCCCGTCTCTACTAAAAATACAAAAAATTAGCCCGGCATGGTGGTGGGAGCCTGTAGGGAGGCTGAGGAAGGAGAATGGCGTGAACCCGGGAGGCGGAGCTTGCAGTGAGCTGAGACTGTGCCACTGCACTCCAGCCTGGGCGACAGAGGGAGACTCCACCTCAAACAAACAAACAAAAAAACATTCTACCCAACAACTGCAGAATATACATTCTATTCATCAGCACATGGAACATTCTCCAAGACAGACCATATGATAGGCCACAAAACAAGTCTCACTTAAGAAAATCTTTAACAAGCCTTGATTTTAAAAATCAAAATTATATCAAGTACTCTCTCAGATCACAGTGGAATAAAATTAGAAATAAACTCCAAAAGGCACCCTCAAAACCATGCAAATACATGGCAATTAAATAACCTGCTTCTGAATGAACATTGGGTCAACAATGAAATCAAGACAAAAGTTAAAAAATTCTTTGAACAGAACGATAATAGTGACACAACCTATCAAAACCTCTAGGATACAGCAAAAGCAGTGCTAAGGGGAAATGCCCCTTAGCAAATGCATTGAATACCTACATTAAAAAGTCTGAAAGAGCACAAATAGACAATCTAAGGGCACACCTCATGAAACTGGAGAAACAAGAACAATCCAAGCCCAAACCCAGCAGAAGAAAAGAAATAACCAAGATCAGAGCAGAACTAAATGAAACTGAAACAAACAAACAAAAAAATACAAAAGATAAATGAAGCAAAACGCTGGTTCTTTTAAAATAAATAAAATTGATAGACAATTGGCAAGATGAACCAAGGAAAGAAGAGAGAAGATCCAAATAAGCTCAAGTAGAAATGAAATGGGAGATATTACAACTGATACCACAGAAATACCAAAGATTATTCAATGCTACTAAGAACACTTACGTGCACAAACTAGAAAACCTAAAGGAGATGGATAAATTCCTGGAAATATACAACCCTCCTACATTAAACCAGGAACATAAAGCATCTCTGAACAGACCAGTAACAAGCAGCGAGATTGAAATGGTAACAACAACAACAAAAAATGCCAACAAAAAAGTGCACAGGACCAGACGAATTCACAGTTGAACTCTATCAGACATTCAAAGAAGAATTGATACCAATCTTATTGACACTATTCCAAAAGTTAGAGGAAGAGGGAATCCTCCCTAAATCATTCTATGAAGCCAATATCACCCTAATACCAAAACTAGGGAAGGACATAACAAAAAAAGAAAACTACAGACCAAAGTCCCTGATGAAGATGCAAAAATCTTCAACAAGATAATAGTGAACCAAATCCAACAGGATATCAAAAGATAATTCACCATGATCAACTGGGTTCGATATTAGAGATGCAGGGATAGTTTAACATACACAAGTCAATAAGTGTGATATACCACATAAACAGAATTAAAAACAAAAATCGCATGATCATCTCAATAGATGCAGAAAAAGCATTTGACAAAATTCAGCATCGCTTTATGATTAAAACCCCGAGCAAAATTGGCATAGGAGGGACGTACCTTAAGGTAATAAAAGGTAATAATCTACAACAAACCCACGGCCAACATTATACTGAACGGGCAAAAGTTGAAAGCATTCCCCCCAAGAACTGGAAGAAGAAAAGGATGCCCACTTTCACCACTTCTATTCAACATAGTACTGGAAGTCCTAGTCAGAGCAATCAGACAAGAGAAAGAAATAAAGGGCACCCAAATCGGTAAAGAGGAAGTCAAACTGTTGCTCTTTGTTGATGATATGATCATATACCTAGAAAACCCTGAAGACTCATCCAAATAGCTCCTAGAACTGGTAAATGAATTCAGCAAAGTTTTAGGATACAAAATTAATATACATAAATCAATAGCTGTGCTATGCACCACAGCAACAAAGCTGATAATCAAATCAAGAACTCAACCCCTTTCACAATAGCTGCAGAAAAAATAAAATACTTAAGAATATACCTAGCTTCTCCCCCTCCCCCTCCCCCTCCCCCCCTCCCCCTCCCCACGGTCTCCCTCTCCCTCTCCCTCTCTCTCCACGGTCTCCCTCTGATGCCGAGCCGAAGCTGGACTGTACTGCCACCATCTCGGCTCACTGCAACCTCCCTGCCTGATTCTCCTGCCTCAGCCTGCCGAGTGCCTGGGATTGCAGGCGTGCTGCCACGCCTGACTGGTTTTCGTACTTTTTTGGTGGAGACGGGGTTTCGCTGTGTTGGCCAGGCTGGTCTCCAGCTCCTAACCGCGAGTGATCTGCCAGCCTCGGCCTCCCGAGGTGCCGGGATTGCAGATGGAGTCTCACTCACTCAGTGCTCAATGTTGCCCAGGCTGGAGTGCAGTGGCGTGATCTCTGCTCGCTACAACCTCCACCTCCCAGCCGCCTGCCTTGGCCTCCCAAAGTGCCGAGATTGCAGCCTCTGCCCGGCCGCCACCCCGTCTGGGAAGTGAGGAGCGTCTCTGCCTGGCCGCCCATCGTCTGGGATGTGAGGAGCCCCTCTGCCCCGCCGCCCAGTCTGGGAAGTGAGGAGTGCCTCTTCCCGGCCGCCATCCCATCTAGGAAGTGAGGAGCGTCTCTGCCCGGCCGCCCATCGTCTGAGATGTGGGGAGCACCTCTGCCCCGCCACCCCGTCTGGGATGTGAGGAGCGCCTCTGCCCAGCCGGGACCCCATCTGGGAGGTGAGGAGCATCTCTGCCCGGCCGCCCCGTCTGAGAAGTGAAGAGCCCCTCCGCCCAGCAGCCGCCCGTCTGTGAAGTGAGGAGCCCCTCCGCCCAGCAGCTGCCCCGTCTGGGAAGTGAGGAGCGTCTCCGCCTGGCAGCCACCCCGTCCGGGAGGGAGGTGGAGGGCAGCCCCCACCCCGCCAGCCGCCCCGTCCAGGAGGGAGGTGGAGGGCAGCCCCCGCCCGGCCGCTGCCCCGTCTGGGAGGTGGGGGGCGCCTCTGCCCGGCCGCCCCGTCTGGGAAGTGAGGAGCCCCTCTGCCTGGCCACCACCCCGTCTGGGAGGTGTACCCAACAGCTCATTGAGAACGGGCCATGATGACGATGGCGGTTTTGTCGACTAGAAAAGGGGGAAATGTGGGGAAAAGATAGAGAAATCAGATTGTTGCTGTGTCCGTGTAGAGGGAAGTAGACGTAGGAGACTCCATTTTGTTCTGTACTAAGAAAAATTCTTCTGCCTTGGGATGCTGTTAATCTATAACCTTACCCCCAACCCCGTGCTCTCTGAAACATGTGCTGTGTCCACTCAGGGTTAAATGGATTAAGGGCGTTGCAAGATGTGCTTTGTTAAACAGATGCTTGAAGGCAGCATGCTCATTAAGAGTCATCACCACTCCCTAATCTCAAGTACCCAGGGACACAAACACTGTGGAAGGCCGCAGGGTCCTCTGCCTAGGAAAACCAGAGACCCTTGTTCACTTGTTTATCTGCTGACCTTCCCTCCACTATTGTCCTATGACCCTGCCAAATCCCCCTCTCCGAGAAACACCAAAGAATGATCAATAAATACTAAAAAAAAAAAAAAAAAAAAAAAAAGAAATGGTAACAATGGACACCTTTACCTTGTTTCCAATCTTAGTGGGAAAGTATTCAGTATTTCGCCATTATGAATGATGTTATCTATAGGTTCTTTGTAGATGGCCCTCATCAATTTGAGGAAGTTCCCTTCTATTCCTAGTTTGCTGACTATATTTATCATGGCCCGAAGGTGAACTTTTTCAAATGCCTTTTCTGTGTCTATTGGGACAACCATATGGTTTGTTTTTTAATACACTTATGTGGTGAATTGCATTTATTGATTTTTGAATGTTACAGTATACTTATATTCCTGGTATAAATTCTACTTTTTCATGATGTATTATCTTTTAAAAATATGATTAAAATATGATTGAATGTAGTTTACTAATAAAAATAAAAAAAAAAGAATATACCTAATCAAGGACATGAAAGACTTTTACAAGGAAAACTACAAAACACTGCTGAAAGAAATCAGAGACAACACAAATGAAAACACATTCCATGCTCATGGATGGGTAGAATCAATATTGTGAAAATGACCATACTGCCGAAAGCAATCTACAAATTCAGTGCAATTCCCATCAAAATACCACCATCATTCTTCACAGAAATAGAAAAGACAATCCTAAAATTTATATGGAACCAAAAGCTAAGCCAAAACTAAGACTAAGCAAAAAGAACAAATCTGGAGGCATCACATTACCCAACTACAAACTATAAGGCCATAGTCACCAAAACAGCACGATACTGGTATAAAAATAGCACATAGACCAATGGAACAGAATAGAGAAGCTGGAAATAAAGCCAAATGCTTATAGCCAACTCATCTTTGACAAAGCAAACAAAAACATAAAGTGGGGAAAGGACACCCTATTCAACAAATGGTGCTGGGATAATTGGCAAGCCACATGTAGAAGAATGTAACTGGATCCCCATCTCTCACCTTATCAAAAAATCAACTCGAGATGGATCAAAGACTTAAATCTAAGACCTGAAACTATAAAAATTCTAGAAGATAACATTGGAAAAACCCTTCTAGACATTGGCTTAGGCAAAGAATTCATGACCAAAGACCCAAAAACAAATACAACAAAAATAAAGATAAATAGATGAAACATAATTAAGCTAAAATGCTTCTGCACAGCAAAAGAAATAATCAGCAGAGTTAACAACCCACAGAGTGGGAGAAAATCTTCACAATCTATACATCTGACAGAGGACCAATATCCAGAATTACAAAGAACTCAAACAAATCAGCAAGAAAAAAGCAAATAATCCCACTAAAAAGTGAGCTAAGGACATGAATAGACAATTCTCAAAAGAAGATATACAAATGGCCAACAAACATATGAAAAAATGCTCAACATCACTAGCGATCAGGAAAATGCAAATCAAAACCACAATGTGATACTATCTCACTCCTGCAAGAATGGCCATAATAAAAAAATCAAAAAATAATAGATGTTGTTATGGATGTGGTGAAAAGGGAACACTTTTACACTGCTGGTGGGAATGTAAACTAGTACAATCACTATGGAAAACAGTGTGGAGACTCCTTAAAGAACTAAAAGTAGATCTACCATTTGATTTAGCAATCCCACTACTAGGTATCCACCCAGAAAAAAAGAAGTCATTATACGAAAAAGATACTTGCACACGCATGTTTATAGCAGCACAATTTGCAAATGCAAAAATATGGAACCAGCCCAAATGCCCATCAATCAACAAGTGGATAAAGAAAATGTTTTATATATACACCATGGAATACTACTCAGCCATAAAAAGGAATGAGATAATGGCATTCATAGCAACATGGATGGAATTGGAGACTATTATTCTAAGTGAAGTAACTCAGGAATGGAAAACCAAACGTCGTATGTTCTCATTCATGTGGAAGATGAGCTATAAGGACACAAAGGCATAAGAACAACACATTAGACTTTGGGGACTCGGGGGAAAGGATGAGGGGTGATAAGGGATAAAAGACTACACAATGGGTACAGTGTACACTGCTTGGGTGATGGGTGCACCAAAAGCTCAGAAATCACTACTAAATAACTTACTCATGTAACCAAACGCCACCTGTTCTCCAAAAGCCTATTGAAATAAAAAAATATATATATAAAGTTGTAAAAAGAAAATTAAATTAAAAAATAAAAAATAATATTTGGGAGAAAAAATAATTCTGCCACTATATTATTGTTATTCTAAGATAACCACTGTTATCATTCCCACCAGTCTTTTTTTCTTCATATGTTTTACAAAGCTGTGATTACAATGTGCATACATTTTTAAGACCTATTTTTTTTCTTTTTTTTTTTTTTTCTGAGACACAGTCTCACTCTGTCACCCAGGCTGGTGTGCAGTGGCACGATCTCGGCTCTCCGCAACCTCTGCCTCCTGGGTTCAAGCGATTCTCCTGCCTCAGCCTCCCGAGTAGCTGGGATTACAGGTGCCCGCCACCATACCCGGCTAATTTTTGTATTTTTAGTAGAGGCAAGGTTTCACCATGTTGGCCAGGCTGGTCTTGAACTCCTGACCTCAGGTGATCCACCTGCCTCGGCCTCCTAAAGTGCTTGGATTACAGGCATGAGCCACTGCACCCAGCCAAGACCTGCTTTTTTATTGACACACATAAAGTATTTATCTGAAGTTCCCTATAATCCTTATAATCATTATTTAAAATAATAGCATAAGGCTGGGCATGGTGGCACACAACTGTAATCCCAGCACTTTGGGAGGGCAAAGTGGGCTGATTGCTTGAGCCCAGGAGTTAGAGACCAGCCTGGACAACATGGCAAGACCCCATCTCTACAAAAAAAGCCAGGTGTGGTGGTATGTGCCTGTAGTCCCAGCTACTCAGGAGGCTGATGTGGGAGGATTGCTTGACCTTTGGGGAGCAGAGGTTGCAGTGAGCCAAGACCGTGCAACTGCACTCCAGCCTGGGCGACAGAGCAAGACCCTGTCTCATAAGTAAATAATAAATAAATAAATAAAAACAAAAAGCTTTTGCACAGAAGAAAAACAGTAAAACAATAGGATAATATTCTAAGGAGTAGATTCACCATTCCTTTATTGCTAGGCATTCATGTTATTTTAGTTTTTAAAATTTTATAAATAACACTGATAAATACCTTCATGAAAATAGTTTGTTTCCCATATTTAAAAAAAAAATTAGGCCACATTCCCAGAAGTAAGATTACCTGATCAAAGGGCATTAATACACATTGGCTACCAAAATGCTTTCTTCCAAACCACACTCACTAGGAAACTGAGTACCATCTTTTTCAATTCTGTTAAATTTAGGCTTAAAAAGTGGTGGCTCATGCCTGTAATCCCAGCACCTTGGGAGGCCGAGGCAGGCAGATCATGAGGTCAGGAGTTCGAGACCAGCCTGACCAACACGGTGAAACCCCGTCTCTACTAAAAATAAAAAAATTAGCCGGGCATGGTGGCACGCGCCTGTAATCCCAGCTACTCAAGAGGCTGAGGCAGGAGAATCGCTTGAACCCGGGAGGCAGAGGATGCAGTGAGCCGAGATCACACCATTGCACTCCAGCCTGGATGACAGAGCCGAGATTCTGTCTCAAAAAAAAGAGGCTTACCTAATGGTTTTAATTTACATTTCTTTGATTAGTAGTGATGAACATTTTCCAATGTTTTCCAGTTGTCCTTAAACTCCTTTGTAAATTGTCTATTCGTGTTCTTTGTGCAGATTTCTTCTTATACATTATATTGTAGGAGTGGGTTAGATAATACAAGCCTATTACACTTTGTCATATTTATGATACATAGGCTTTTTCAGTCTGTGTTTAGATTTTGAAAATAGCCAAAAAACCTTTTAAAAGTTATTTTGGTTTTAAAATTTTGTACAGTCGGGTTTGATCTTTTCCTTTGTGATTTTAAAAAATTACTTTCTAAGCTTAGAAAATTCTTCCCCTTTAGAAGCTTGATAAATATCCATTCACTCTAGTGTTTAAAATTTGCTTTTTTAAATATTTAACTTTTCAATCTAGCTGTCACTCATTTTAGTTTATTACAGTAGATGAGGGTATAATGGTACAAGCTGTCACAATACCATTCATTTACTCAACAGACCTTTCAACTCCCATTCACTTGCAATGCATCCTTTGTAATAGATTAAATTCTATATAATTGGTCTCTTTGTTGGGGTGGGGGGTGTACTATAACCTATCTGTCTAATTTTTGTACCAGTGTTTTCATTACTGTAGTTTTGGATGCTTAATATCTAATAGTATTAGTCCTTCGTTACTCTTCTTTTGTAGAATATTCTTTGAAAATCATCCTTTTTTAGCTTTCAAATGCAATTATTTGCTGTCTTACTCCTAAGATATAAATTTCTTGCAGGTAGAATTGGTTTATTTCCTTAGAATAGATTGCCAAGAATATTGTTACTGGCCCAACTGGTATGAACATTTTTTCCCATTCTTAACACTTCCAAGGTTTTCAAAAGGGGTTGTATTAATTTCACTGTAATCCTTCTACCACCTGGATATTTTGAAATAAAGAATCTTTTTCAAACTTGGTAGGGGAAACAATATATCTTGCTTCAATTTCTATATCTCTGCTTACTGGTGATGATAAACATACATTTGACATGTAGTAGGTGCCTAATCAATGCTTGTTCAATGAATAAATGGCATGTATGAATCTGTACATATATTTGCAGATGGGAAGTTTAAGCAAATATTGTGATTATAATAGGTAAATGTTGGCTAGATGTAAGTTTGTGGCCTAAATGCCTGTAGTCCATCTACAGAGAGGTTCTAGTTATGCCAAGAACACCTTGGAATTCAGACCTAAACTGGGGCAATCTCTAGAGACTCTGTAATTTATATTTATCACAGGCATGTCCGTTTCCATGCAGGATCAGCTGAAAGATGTCTACAACAGTTAAGGCGATATATGTGGGTATCCCCATGTCTGTGTGCAGCCCAGAAGCAGTCGTGATTGGGTCAAGACAGAGTGTACTTCCTTTGGCAGCAAAACAGTAATAAGAAGCAGAGTACTCCACTGGAAAATGACCCAGGCCCTAGTAGGCCTTCTGCAGTTAATTTAATTGCATAATAAACTGGATGTCATTCATAGAAGCAAGCCTTTTCTATGAAGCCACACTACTTTTCTTCTCAACTTGCCAAGCCCAAGAGGACCTAGAAGTCTTTCGTTCAGAGAAGCTTAGCTTTCTCCTTTCACTCTGCACCTGGGAGGGGAGAGGGTCATTTTTTTTCTCCTAGCAGTCATTGTCTTTATTTTGAATTTAAAAAAAAGGCAGGCGGTGTGCAGTGGCTGTCATGTGTAATGCCAGCACTTTGGGAGGCCAAGGTGGGAGGATCACTTGAGGCCAGGAATTTGAGACCAGCCTGGGCAACATAGCAAGACCTCATCTCTACAAAAAATACAAAAATTATCCAAGCATGGTGGCACGTGCCTGTAGTCCTAGCTACCTAGAAGGCTGAGGTGGGCAGATCCCTTGAACCCAGGAGTTCGAGACTGCAGTGAGCTATGATTGCACCACTGCACTCCAGCCTTGGTGACAGAGAGAGACTCTGTCTCGAAAAAAACAAAACAAGAAAGAAAGAAAGAGGCCAGGTGTGGTGGCACATACCTGTAATGCCAGCACCTTGGGAGGCTGAGGATGGAGGATCCCTTGAGCCCAGGAGTTCAAGATCAGCCTGGGCAACATAGGGAGACATTGTCTTTATTAAAAAACAAAAAACAAAAAACAAACAAACAAACAAACAAAGCAAGAAAAAAGCAAGCAGGCAAGCAAGCAAAAGCTAACAAAAGGCAGCTTGTCTCTGTTTTTAAAACCATGTAAGACTCATTACTAAAACATTGGTTTCCTTTGCTGTGTTGCCCAACTAGTAAATTCTAGCAGTAAACTTTTTCAAGGACTTCCTTGGCCACAAAATCTGTCAATTTGATGGAAAAAATTCTGTTATTATCTTAACCTGCATATGCTGAAGTTGTGCTGTGTTTTATTCTGAAAAACAAAGTGTTGTTTTCTCTTGACCTAAGAGCACCTAAGGTCACGGTTGATTGCATGAACAATTGATTCCTGAGTGAGGCATTGGCAGTTACTACCACAGTGGCTTCATTTCTCTCAGACAGAGGATCGATAAATTCAGAGTTTAAAAAATCCTTCTTCTTCAATGTGGATTAAGTACTACAGAAATATCAAACAAAGTCCCAAATGCTGAAGGAGGGCCCAGCAATCCTTCTCAGACAGACTACTGCAGTTTGACATGTTAACATAAAACTCTAGAAGGTGGCCAGGCGCGGTGGCTCACCCCTGTAATCCCAGCACTTTGGGAGGCCAAGGCAGGCAGATCACCTGAGGTCAGGAGTTTAAGACCAGCCTGGCCAACGTGGTGAAACCCTGTCTCTACAAAAATACAAAAATTAGCTGGGCATGATGGCGGGTGCCTGTAATTCCAGCTACTCAGGAGGCTGAGGCAGGAGAATCACTTGAACTGGGAAGGAGGAGGTTGCAGTAAGCTGAGATCGCGCAACTGCACTCTAGCCTGAACGACAGGGCGAGACTCTGTCTCAAAAACAAACAAACAAATAAACAAACAAACACTCCAAAGGACTTCTCCTCTAACTCCAAGAAGCACCTAGGAAGAGCCTTTTCACAAGCCCTTTGTCTTTGAGAGACATCTACCTCTGGGTTGCTACTTTCATTAGAGGAGCATGAGCCCTCTTCTTGATTCTTCAGCCTTTTGTTTTAAACCTATTAGCGTCAATTTTCCACCTTTTTAAAAATCTGTTTGCCACTTCTTTTAAGAACTAGCTCTAAAATTCACTTCTGCCAAGACTTCCATGATTAATTTCTTTCTACTGATAAGTCTCTTCAGCTCATACATATATTCCATTGGTACCATAACTAATGTTGTTCTCTATTCTAATTTTGTTAATGTTTCTAGACTGTAAGTCCCTCGAAGACAGGGGAATTTCTAGAAAGCCGAAAAGGAATTTAGAGACTGTCTAGTTGTATCCTTTGTTCATTTTATTGATGAAGAAACTGAGGCCTAGGGAGGGTAATCAGTCCAAGTCAGTTAGCCAAGTTAGAAAAACTAGGTGTAGAGCCCAGGTGTCCTGACTTTGAGCAGTGTGCTTTCCACTATATTAGGTAATCTTTTTTCTATTTCACTTGGATTTCTTCAGAATGCCTTGTAAAGTGCCACATACACACACGTCTCTCTGTAAATGTCAATACAATAAGCATAAGAGTTTACATAACTGAGAAACTGACTCAAGGAAAGAGTCAGAAAACAGAAAGGTCATTTTCTTACTTCTTTGCATGATGCCACCCTCCAGACCAGTTAATTGCTACTTTGCACATTCCGTCAATCAGGCATTGGGCAGCTGTGATCGTAGCCCCTCCTATAGCTGCTGCATAGTCAAATATCCCTTCAGTGGCTGGGCAGTCATAACCTTAGGGCAAAAATCAGAAGAGCTGGTTAAAAGGTGAACTGGAAAAAGAGGAGGAATAGGTTGAGGTGTGACAACAACCTAACCTACTAAAAAGCCACTGTGCTAATATCAGCTCCAACTGAGACAGAAACAACTCCAATGTTGGGGATATAATATTTTAAAAGGTTAGAGCTAGAAAGGATAAACCCTCCTGATGAACTAGTCACAGGCTACAGATAGAGAAACCAAGCCTGAGAGGTGATGTGTCTTGTCAGTGGTCACACAGAGCCAGGCTTGGGACCCAGCTCTGTTGACCCCCCAGTTCAATGTTCCTCTGCTAAACCATGCTGTTTTTCTAGACTATCCTGCAGGTCACTTACAGTTTTAAAAAATGCAGCTGTTTAATGAGGGGTGAGGTACAAAAACTTAGCCAGAACATAAATCTGTACTCCAGTTAAAATATAAGGTCACAGGACAGCTAAATCAGCATATACACAGCCAGACCAGATCTGAGCACTGCCAGTAGGGCATAAGCAACTGAAAGGTTTTCTTTCATCTAACCCTTCATGTGGTTTTGCTCAACTCATATGGTTTGCTTGTTTAGTGAGTTATATGTGGCTAAACCAAAAGATTAAGATTGACAGTTAACACATGATTTCTTAACGAAAAATATTAAAAAAATCATACAAGTTATAAAAAAAATTAGTCTGTCCATCTCCCATCACTGCCTGGTAATGACTTTACCTAGCCCATATTCTATGGAGTCCGGATGATCATCATCGCCCTCTTGGCTGACCTTCTGGAGATGCTGCAGATAAGCATCAGTGTGGAAGGTGGCCATCTCCTCCATGGAGGCCACTTTAGGCTTAACTATCCTAATAATAACAGAGAGAACAAAGAGAGGTCAGTGAGTCAGACCCAGCGTATGCCAGAAGCTAGAAACAGAAGCCAGCAGTCTGAGAAGAAAATACGTCTCAACTTCTGGTTCCAATAGGCTGGAGTAATAAACATATTCTGTTCTTCCACTGCACTGTGCGGTCTTCACTGCCTCACATCTACAGTAGTGACTCTATTAATAAGGGGCAAGAAGATAGATTTTCCCTTGAGTTTATAGGTAAGTAAACAAAAGTAATTATATTCAAGTTAAACAAATAATCAGGTATCAGACAGACTTTACCCTGTGAGTTACAACTTTCAGGACAAACTAGTAGGCAGGGATATTTTCATTTGAACCAGTTGCGAATTGGGCTATCTAATCCTTTCAGCTATATCTTTATTTTAATAGGCAGCTATGTTATCATGCATTTTGAATTTGGAGTCAGATTTGGAGTCAGAGAATTGGGTTCCTGTCCTAATTCTGTACTTACTAGCTCTATAACCTCAGATAAGTCAACTGTTCTGTAGTTCAGTTTTCTTATTTGTAAAATGGGGAACTTTATGGGACTTATGTGAAGATAAAAGGATAACACATACAAAAATGCTTGGTGGATAACTATCATTCTATTAACAGATAAAAAATGGGCAACCCAAAATGTAATGTTTCTAGACTTGGACCCTCCTATCTGCCTCTGAGAGCGAGGCGAGAAGGGGCAAAATGGTTGGAACCGGACTTCACTCAGAACCTCTCAACCTACTCCTCACGAAAAATGACAAATAGAAGCGAGTGAGGGAATAAAGGGAGCTAACCCAATAAGAGGCCTTACCACATCTAACCTCTAGCTGCCTATTCCCCATTTCCTCTTCTTGACCCCACAGCTGCCACTACTGTTCTCTAGCCCTTGCCACTTAAAGGGTGGTCCATAGACCAGGAGCATCAGCATTCCCTGGGTGCTTGTTAGAAATGCAGAACTTCAGACTTGCCTCAGACCTGAGTCAGAATTTGTATTTTAACATGATGATTTTTAAACAAGATGACACATTTTAAGGTGATTCATATACACATTCAAGTTGAAGGAGCCCTGACCTGGGCCACAGGGAGGCAGCAGTGGTTTTAAATGTCTGCTGAATGGGAACACAGCCATGAGTTTACGATGAATGAATACGACTATACAGGCTACTACTATCACCAAGGTAGCTGGAAGAAATCCTGTGGTTTGGCCTCAAAAGTGAAATACATAGCCAAGACCCAAGAATTCTTGCTTCTTCTTAAAGAAGACAAATCTATACCACCAGAGGTGAAAAATCTACCCATTAAAATAAAAATTTTGTAATATCTCGGACCGTATTTCCCAGTCCTAAAAGCTCCCTCTTCTAGTACCCTTCCATTTATTTTGGTAAATGTTAAAAAACACTTACTGAAAACCTCCCTATTTAACAGTAAGCAAACTGGACAGTTTTGCTTTGCTTTGATATCTTGTTTGTCATAAAATAATTTTTTGAAATGTTAAATAACTTTAATGGAAGGCATATAGTTACTATGTTAACCAAACCATATGGGTTAAAAAATGGCTTAAAATGGGTGTGGTGACACGTGCCTGTAGTCCCAGCTACTCGGGAGGCTGAGGCAGGAGAATCGCTTGAACCTGGGAGGCGGAGGTTGCAATGAGCCGAGATCGCGCCACTGCACTCCAGCCTGCGCGACAAAGCAAGACTCCATCAAAAAAAAAAAAAAAAGGCTTAAAAATTCCCTTTAAAAGGTACAAAATGATTTTGTTAATAATAAGGATAAAATCTGAAAGCCTATTATTACACTACCTTCTGGGAGATAAATGAAGCATAGCACACTAGTTGGTATGAGCACTCACCTATTTGGCCAGAAATTGTCATAAGTAATCCTATATGTGGCAGGGTTATATTTGCTCTTATAACGACATCAAATACAGAAATGGCAATAAACAGCAAGTTCATGTTTTTGGAAGAAACAGTTAGCTCTCTCTTGAGTTCTGGCGCAGTCTTGGCAGTTTTCTTTGGTCTTTTTTGTTTGTTTGTTTTTTGAGACGGAGTCTCACTCTGTCACCCAGGCTGGGGTGCAGTGGCGCAATCTCGGCTCACTGCAAGCTCCGCCTCTCGGGTTCACACCATTCTCCTGCCTCAGCCTCCCGAGTAGCTGGGACTACAGGCGCCTGCCACCACGCCCGGCTAATTTTTTGTATTTTTAGTAGAGACGGGGTTTCACCGTGTTAGCCAGGATGGTCTTGATCTCCTGAGCTCATGATCCGCCTGCCTCAGCCTCCCAAAGTACTAGGATTACAGGCGTGAGCCACCACGCCCGGCCTTCTTTGGTCTTGATCTGTCTCCAGCCTCACCCATTAAAGTTTGGTGCTGGTGGTGGGTTGTCTAAAAGTCTTAGGTTGAACTCACACCCTCAAATCTGGCTTAGAATGAAACGAAATCAAAAGAAAAATGGAACACCTCCTAGCTGAACACCTTTTTGTATGAGACAGGTTTTAATACCCAAATGTACTCAAAATCTCCACAATGCACTGCACCTACCCCTGGGATACTTAACCAAGCAATCGAGCTGTATTTCTAATGAACCTTAACTGCTTCCTGCACTTTCCACTCCCCTGTCCCAAGTTTTCTTTTCTTTTTCTTTCTTTCTTTCTTTTTTTTTTTTTTTTTTTTTTTTTTTTTTGAGACGGAGTTTCACTCTTGTTGCCCAGGCTGCAGTGCAATGGTGCAATCTCGGCTCACTGCAACCTTCACCTCCGGGGTTCAAGCGATTCTCCTGCCTCAGCCTCCCGAGTAGCTGGGATTACAGGCGCCCGCTACCACGTCCGGCTAATTTTTTTGTATTTTTAGTAGAGACGGGGTTTTGCCATGTTGGGCAGGCTGGTCTCAAATTACTGACCTCAGGCGATCCACCCACCTAGGCCTCCCAAAGTGCTGGGATTACAGGCGTGAGCCATGCTCTCGGCCCCCCAAGTTTTCTTAATTCTTCAAGAGCTTTCTTGGGATTACAGGCAGATTACAAACACTGTGAATACTTTCACAGAAAGCTAAAATAATTTTTTCAAAAGACCATTCTTTTCCTTGCCCCACTGTGAAGCAGGATATTAAGGCTACGAACACCTAGCTTCAGGGCTATGTTCAAGAAAGACAACTTACCTCATCTGCTTATGCAGTGCATATGCTTCAATCAAAGAATGCACCATACTGGCCTAAAAACATCAGCGTAAAAAAAAAAAAAGAAAAGCAGAAATAGTCTCTTTAAAGTTTAATTCAGCAAAATCCCCGTCAATCTCACCATCCTGAACAAAGGAACGGATTAATTTTGTTTCAACTGGCTTCCCTTCTGTTAACAGTTACAATACACTTTAGACAATACAGATACAAAGTATCAAAATCACTAAGGTGAAAGCTACCGGGCCTTAGGCAGGTGATGGAACACCTTCCCCCTGCAGCTTGTTTTCCCACGACTTCAGCGGTCCCCTATGAGTGGAAACTGCGTCCTCTCCCCTCCTCCGTACCCCCTCCCCCACTCCTACCTGTCCATTGGACGTCCCGAAGAGACATGCTGCGCTCTCAGAAACGATATGAGAACACTTCCTTCTGATACAGCTTTAGGTATCTGATACAGCTACTCGAAATTTCTGAAGATTTCCCCCAGCCCAGTGTCCTCTCCGCTTCCTAACGCTCTTTCGTCCACCGCCCCCACCCCCACCCCCAAAGCCCATGGTCTTTCATCCCGACTTCCCTTACCCGTTTGGGGATCTTGGCCAGGGAGTCACACATACTGACATACTCGGGACTATAGATATAAACCGGGACCAGCGACTGCCCACTGTCCGCCGGTTCCTCCGGCTCCTCCATCTTCCGCTTAAAACCGTTCCGCAGCCACCTTCCAGATCTGGCTTTTTTCGGACTCGGCCAGGGTTCCAGTTCCTGCTCCTCTGATCGGCCGCAGCGGTGCTCCCTGGTCAACATTCCCTCCTATTCTTGAGATCGCCGGAGACACTATCACCGCTCCCCATCCTATTGAAGGAATGGATGGGACTTCCCAGACCAGACTCCCCTCATTTAGTGACCACAGTTCAAGGAAAAGGGTTTGGCAGATGTAAAAGTCCAAATAGCTGTCAATTAGGATCGATTGTTTTTATGGCACAAATAAGTAGGGTCAAAACTAACCATCCTTGTTGCCCTACGGGGCCATTTGAGATGAAGTCAGACCAGTTTCACAGCATGCTGGGAGATGTAGTTTCCGGAGGTTTGAGCAACGGAAGAGCCGGGGCTAAACACTAAAATAACCGCGATTTTTAGTTTCAGCGCTAAGACCAAAAAAAAAAAAAAAAAAAAGTAGCCTCAACTCTTTATGAATTGTTTCAATCTGCAAACACATCCATTTCATCCATTTAACCATATAAACACAGATAGAACGTGGCCACCTAGAGCCCCCACCATCCAGCTACATCAGCTGCCTATCCTAAGGATAGGCTTTTTTTTTTTTTTTTTTTTTTTGGTGGGGGCGCTATTTAATGGCACAAATGGTTTGAAAAGTTTACACAGTAAATTCTGTGATGCAATTTTATAGTTCATTTCTTTTCATCATTAACTATCCATGTCCACATGAGAGTTAACAATCTCAATAATTTACTCTGGCAAATCTGATAGTACTTTCCCAAGAGACTGGCTGGTGCAGTGGAAATTGCTTGGTAGATTCCGATCAAGCAATGATGTCAAATGTAACTCCTTGAACATTCATGTGGTAGGAAGGTTGCAAGCAGTGGTGTTTGGAAACTGCAGCTCTTCTCCTCCTACCTCCTCTTGTTTCTGCAGCTAAACATAGATTAGGGAAATATTTTAGGTTTGGTGTGAGGGTCCAGTTTAAGACTATCTGAGGCGGTTTTAGAATTACCATCAGCATTTGGAGGTTCCTGGAGGCCCCTATGATCTGATACAAGCTGGCCAGTGCTCAGGATCTTAATTCTCATGGCAACCTAAACTGACTGACTAACACCACTGGGACAACCTAATATCCTTACTATATTTAAAGTCTGGCTTGCTTTTTAGACTTTAAACATTTATTGAAGATTGTGACATGCACATTGGCCATATTATCTCATTTCATCCTTGCAACAGTCCTATAAAGGAGGTTGCAATACACCCATTTTACAGATGCAGTTTAGAGAAACAACATTCAAAATCACATACTTAACAAGCAGATAAGTAGGAATTCAAAATTAGGTCAGCCTGACACTGAAGCCTTTGAACATTCCCTTTATTATATAAACTTGATTCGTCCAGGATGACTTTGTGTTATGATATAACTTTGTTCACCCTCCATTTTGTATCCCTTCAATACTTATTCTGAAAATCTTGGGGGTGTTTTGGTGATGTGCTCTGTAACTAGAATGTAAGATCTTATGTTTCTTTAATTTATGTCTTCCCATAGTAACTAGTTAAAAGCTCTGCAGTCATTCATTCATCAAACATTTATCTGATATTAAGTGTACAGTACAGCTGAGGATTCAAAGGTAAATTATGATGTGATCTCTGCTCTCAAGGAATTTGCATTCTTTTTTTTTTTTTTTTTTTTTTTGAGACAGAGGAGTCTTGCTCTGTCGCCCAGGCTGGAGTGCCGTGGCGCGATCTCCTCTCGCTGCAAGCTCCGCCTCCCGGGTTCATGCCATTCTCCTGCCTCAGCCTGTCCAAGTAGCTGGGACTACAGGCGCCCGCCACCACGCCCAGCTAATTTTTTTATTTTTAGTAGAGACGGGGTTTCACCGTGGTCTCTATCTCCTGACCTCGTGATCCGCCCGCCTCGGCCTCCCAAAGTGCTGGGATTACAAGTGTGAGCCACCGCGCCCAGCCAGAATTTGCATTCTTATACAGAAGATGGGGCAAGTACACAAGAAACCAAAGGCAATGCAGAGTCAATGAATGTAGGATGCTTAGCCTACTTAATAAATAAGCATTAAGTACTAAATAACTGGCATTTAATAAATGGTAACTAGAATTCATCTTTGATGGCATTTGAGAGGGTCTTAGGAGGTGGGCAAGATTTTGCTTGGTGAAGATGGGAGCCAGGAGAGGGCATGCTGACTAGAATGAACAGCATAAACAGTAACACAAAAGGGAAAATTTCTAGTCGAGTTTAGCTAAAAGGGCCAGATCATGAAGAACATTGAATACCAGGCTAAAGAGAATAGACTACATTCTGTGGGAAATGGGAAAACATATTTAGACAGAAATAGTAAGGAAAAAAGATTTCTATAGCAGCAGTGTGTAGGAAAGATTAGTCATTAAAAGGCTAGGGGCAGTTAGAGTGCCACAATGGTCCAAATAAGAAGTGATAATGATTTTAAACTAGGGTGGGGGCAATGGGAACAAAGGAGAAATAATGTACAGGGTAGGTTCAACAGGACTTTTTTATTACTTGGATATTGGTGAGAGGGAGGAAGATGGAAAAGGGTTGCTGAAAACTCTTAAATGTAAACTCTGGGTAAAGAAAAGACTAGAGGTAGCAATATAAGAAAGAGGGCAATCGGGAGGAAGAACTCATACAGTAGGGCAGAATAGACATAGATTCTGATTTTAAAAGTGTTGAAAAGTGTTTCAGAAATTAGTGGGTTAAACAATTGCAGTGATACACACACACACACTTTTCCATATAAAGAGGAGAAAACTGAAGTCATAAGAGTGGCTGAGCTAGGCAAGGGATGTGGCTTTCTCCACTGGGATGCCTAACAGTCATATCCAACAACATTTTCAAAACCAAGCTCCCAATTTCCCCACCCAAGTTCTTTCCACTCCTTTTCTATCTTTCATAGCTCAGTAAAGATATCAACATCTATCCAGTTGCCTAAGTCAGAAACCTGGGAGTTATTTGTGTTTCTTCCTTTCCTTCACCTGCAGATCCAGTCCATCAGAAATTTCCATTGGTTCTATGTCCAAGACATGCCTTAAATACATTCACTTCTCTCACTCTGTACTGCCACCACTCTAGTCTGGATACTATTATCTCTCACTTAGACTTTCTGCAGTATCAACCTGGGCGTTGCTTCCATTCTTGCTGCCTTACAACCCATTATCTTTGCAGCCACCAGAGTGAACCTCCAAAAAAAAGTAAATCAGATCATGTCACAAAACCTGCCCCAGACTCTGGTGAAGACCTCTGAGCTAGGAAGAAGAGTGTCATTTTTGGAAATGCCTGTGTGTAAGAGTTTAGAGGAGAAAAAGATGTCAGAAAGAAGACAAGGAATGGTCAAAGACCCCTTTTTGTCATTAGAAATTCACTGGTGCCCTATGGAACAAAACAAAACAGGAGGTGGGGAGGAAGCCAGATTGTGGGGGTTTAAGAAGTGAAGCCAACACAGTTAAGTGTAGCTTCCTCTTTGAAAAAATGTGATTGTGAAAGGAAGGAGTTAGTCTAACAGCTTGAGGGGACGTCGGAGCCCAGAAATTTTTTTAAGATAAGAGAAAACTGCACATGTTTATAGACAGGAGAAGCTACAGGAGTTGACTGAAAGGTGAGATCATGATGACGGGCAACATAAGGAGAAATGAGACTTGTTCTGGGCCTTCAGGGATAGGCAGCGGAAAGAGGGCAGGAGATAGACTGGCCAACTGATACCCTAAATTCTGGACTCTTCTTGGATGACATGAAAAGGTATTGTTTCATGTGTCCTTTCTGATCTAGTAACAAATAGCTGAATGGCTCTAAACTGGAAACACTATCCAAGTACCCCATGCAATGTGGCAAGATGATTCAGCTATGGAGAAAGATAAATTGTTGCACAATGCTCTGGAATTGGCAACCTATTCCTGCAGCTAATCTCAAAGGGCGGCTAGACGCTTGCTCATGGTTAAGAAAGAGCACACATCATGCCACAGGTCCCTCACCTCAATTTTCCACATTCGTAACACCCATATGGTTCTTAAACTGGGAAGAAAACCCTTCTCAATGCACTTTATTTGCAGTTGGAGGACTTGAGGTCACAGGAAGTAGGTTGAATCTTGGCTTCAAAGCTTGCTAGGGTGGTGACCCAGGGCAAGTTACTTGACTCACTTTCCTCAATCATTATTGCTAAAAGTAACATTCGAACCGGTAAGTTCAGGTTGGGCTGTGCCATATTTTTTTGGTGCTTTCCCCTGCTTTTCCCCAGAAGGGGAGGCAAACACATTACAAGGGCACCACCCTTCAGTGAATGAGCAGAGTCTTCTCTGCTCATTTCACTATCTGTCCAGTGACACTTCAACTGTCTTCAACTGACCCTTGTCACACCACCCCCTTAATGTCATTTTCCTTGGAGAGTGTCATTGTTGAGAATGTGATCGCTAGCGTCAGACTGCATGGGTTCAACTTCCAGCTCTATCACTTATTAGATGATTGATTTGGGGCAATTTACTTAAACCCTCAGTGCCTCAGGTAGCTTACTTGTAAGATGGCAGTATCTATCTTACATGGCAATTGTGAAGATAAAATGGCTCACGCTAAGTGCCTATATAACAATGGCATTTGGTATGTGCTCAAATATTGGTTATTTAAGAGCCATTATGCCAAATATTTCTATATTTGGTGGGGAAGGGAGTTTCCCCCTACTGTCATCCTTACCCCCATACCACTACTGCACAAGTACTACTAGTGGTTTGAGAATAAGTTCTTGGTTTTTTGGCTTAGCCTTAAAAGAAATCACACATCTGCTAAATATAGGGTGACCATATCTTTCAAACTGAGACATTTTTTGAGAGTGACACAGTGCTATTGATAATTATGCCAGTAAAACAGGCATAAATGGGGGCTGCCCTGGACAAACCAACACCTGAGGTTACTCAAGTTAAAAAGGAAATGAATGTCTACCAAATATAAGAATAAAAATTGATGGCTGTATTTTTTTAAAATTAAATAAATAAAAAGGAAATGAAGACTACATGTGGAAAATAATCTCCACTGCATTAGTGCAGACACTAGGTACTTGGTAAGTAGAAAAAGGAATGGCAGAGGTTTTGCCAGCTGTGGTGAAGAACAACTTTTGCCCCACCAGTTGTGTAAGATTCCCAGAATGTAGTAAAATTTCATTAACCAGGATGGAACTGTAGAGACAATGTTCATCCTTGCTGGATAAATCCTGTTATAGAAAAGGCTAATGAATAGTATAAACAAACAAGATTCTGCCAAATATTTTTAATATTTAGAAAAACAAGTTGTTTTAAAATACCCTTCATTAGGGAAGAAGCACCATTTGTACACAATTGAAAGGCTGAGTAAAAATGTTTTACTCATTCATCAGAAAATGTTCCCTACAGGCCAGGCGCGGTGGCTCACGAGTGTAATCCCAGCACTTTGGGAGGCTGAGGCAGGCGGATCACCTGAGATCAGGAGTTTGAGACCAGACTGGCCAACATGGTGAAACCCCGTCTCTACTAGAAATACAAAAAAAATTAGCTGGGTGTGGTGGCGCATGCCTGTAATCCCAGCTACTCGGGAGGCTGAGACAGGAGAATCGCTTGAATCCGGGAGGCAGCGGTTGCAGTGAGCCGAGATCACCCCACTGCACTCCAGCCTGGGCGATAGAGCAAGACTCCGTCTTAAAAAAAAAAAAAAAGAAAAGAAAAGAAAAGAAAAGAAAAGAAAAGAAAAGAAAAGAAAAGAAAAGAAAAGAAAAGAAAATGTTCCCTACAGATGTCAATAAGCCCGCTTGAATTTAGTAAGCCTTGTTTGAGTGGGTATGTATTTGAATGATTAAACTGCATTTCTTTACATATATTATCTAACATATTATGAAATGTATAATATATTATATATGTATTAATATATTAATATTATTCTACTTCAACCCAATGAATGAGCTTTGACTGTACTGTATAATTAAGCAGAGTATGTAGAATAAAGCCATGAAATAAACTCCAATCACAAAAACACATGTGAAGTTTTGCACATTGGCACCAGACATGATTTAATTGGAAATTCTTATTATTTATTCTATTTTCAAAACATAAGTGCTTTTTTAAAAAAAGTCTAACATGTCTTTTTAGTACCACACACTTAAAATGAACAAAAAACAAGTCGAGTTTTCTTAAAAGTTGCTTTAAAAGTTAAATACCACTGTATGGGGACCATAATGACACAATTTCGTAAACTCAGAGAAATGCAGCCCTTCGAGTAAGTTCAGGCAAATGAGTGTGGGAAGGAGTGGATCTTTTGCCTGTGGCACTACAGATATACTCCCTGAGATTGGGGTACACTTACAACCAGTGAAAAGACAAATAGTTTCAGAACAGGTTGTAAACTTTCTTTAAAAGTGACCAGAAAATAATGTAGTCAGAAAGCTACTTACTGTGTGTTTCCATTTGCTCTGAGAGAAGTGCTGAAAAGGTTTGCTGTCCTCTCTTTGTTTCTACTATCTGTATTCTATCACCCTACTATATGCTTACTTATTCATTATATTCATAAGATTGTCACTGGTTCTGCAAGAATTGTTCAGAGAGTCTCTCATCCCCACCCTCACCATTCCCAATATTGGGGAAAAACTTTAGAAATCCAAGATAAAGGAGGGGGTTGAAGTAGGAAGTTATCTAAGTGCAAAAAGGGAAGTTAACAGAGTCTCTGCACAATTCAGAAGAAGGAGAGTTAGAAGAAACATTTGTCAAGCAAGGCTACCTACATATGGGATGAAGGAAGAGGACTGAAGCTATTCTTCCACCAATCTGTGTGTGTCAATCTGAGTCCACAGTCACATCCCTTCTCTCACATGCAACATTCTTACTCAGTCCATCAAATGTAGATACAGATTGATATACAGACACATCAAAACTGCTTACATTCAGAAAAATTCCCATGTATGCTTATACACACACACACACACACACACACATACACACACAAATATGTGTCTTTATAAGAAACAGACATATGCCCACAGATACCATGATATACAGGGATATGTACACTAGAATTAGGAAGTGAAAATATATATGAAAGAGTTTAAGAATAGATGGGGGGATAGGGTGTCAGGGAGTTGAGTTGGATGTAGTAGAAAGTAGGTGAGTGAGACAGAGACCAGGAGCACATGAAAAGAATGCTAAGTAGAGCACCTATAGACTGGACTGCTGTATTTATCTTTGCTGAATACAGACGCTTCAAATTATTGTCTGTGTTGTGTATTGGCCCATTTTTCAAAGGCAGGGATTAAGCGCATAAGGCTGTCTTCAGGGAACTAAGCCACCTCTGATTCCCTCTCTGTTCCCTATGTATAAGACATTGTCCAGGCATCGTCTCTTCTTTCCCTTCCTCTCTGGAATTGGGCTCCGGGCTCCATTTCTGGGTTATTCTGCATTTTCTGCTGCAAATACAACTCTGAGTACCAACAATCTTTATAAAATGTGATTTCAAGTGTTAGTTCAGAAATTCTTAAATATGCATGCTGTACTTGCATTTTTTTGATATTTCACCAAAGTGAGAGAGGCATTATGTGTGCAGACACAGAGAGGGCAACAGTAGAGACAATGATTCTACATAGAAACAATTTTAAATTATCACTCAGTGTGAAGCAACCTGTAAGTAAGGAAGAAAACCATGATCCAGTACTCTCTTTTCCTAAGAAAAGGCACGTAGAATAGGTAATTCTAATTTATAGCAGCATAAATATTTAACAATTTAGAGTTTACTCATTTGAAATAATGTCCCAAAGTACCCACCACTCATATACACAATAAAATCACAAAAAAGAAAAACCAAGCTTTAGGAATAAGTTATTATTAACACTTGCTCCCCAAACAGGAGTTAGAAAACTATATTGGTAACAGATCTAGAGAATAAAAACACATGCAAACTTTTATGAATGATGAAAGAAATAAAGCCAATCATGACAGGCCTGGCTGAGTGTTCATTATACTCATAAGATTGTCACTGGTTCTGCAAGGTGAGCCTCCAGGTAAGTGTTCACTTCTTCTACAGTAGTTAGTTTATCGAAAAAGTTCTCTCTTCTTGGGAAGGATGGGACAGAAAGGGGCAGGGTTGGAGTGATTAGGCAATAACATTTTAGTTCCATGCACAATCAACCGAGGCAGGGACCAGCTGTCAAAAGGCTCCCAGAAGCCAGGAACCAAAGCCCTCATTGCATGGCACAGATGCTGTGGGGCAGGAACTCCTGCACGTAGGTGGCGGCTGCCTTGGAGAGGTAGGTCATGGTGCCAAACCTGCCACTGGGTGCACTGTCATACAGAAGAGTACAGATGCCAGATGCGGGATCCTTTGCCAACATGGTATCATCTGCGCCAAGGGTTTTCTGTTTGGTTTTTAAGGGTAGAAGAACATAGGGGAAAGGAAAAATTACCAATCTTACTAAGTAAAGTCCTGATTAGCATAATTCAGAACCTCCTCCCCAACACCAATTAGTTGGGCCCTAGACTGTTTATCCAGGAAGAAATAGGTTTATGGACAAAAGGGTGAATATGAGTTTGTATGCAGGCATTTTTCACTAGGTCCCCAAATCATGTAAATTATTTAAAAATTATTAATTGTTTAGAATTTTCCCCATTATGATCAATTTCTAAAAGTTAAATATAATCATTCATCTATTGAGTCATACCTATTAATAGACAAATGTTAACACAAATCACCGTAGTAGAGCTTTGGTCTGACTCCTTCTAGTACTACTAATTTCAGCTTGTATTCTTTTATCCTGCATTTGATCATGATTTCTTTCTAAGGCGACTTAATTCAAATAGACTAAGTTTTCTGAGGCTAGAGGTCTATGCCTAAAAGGGAACACATTTTTAGATACATGGACTGACAGCAATCCATAATTTTTAAAATTAGAATCTTCTTAGAAAGCCCTGGATATTTTTCTTTTGCATCTCCTCCCAGTGGCTAACAGAATGAAAACAGCTATTATATGTTTTGAAAATTTTTTTACTGCCAACAGTGCCTGTCCTTCACTTATGTGCTCCTACTGTTAATACGGGCAACATTTGGGACACTTTCAATAGTTTGTATTTTTGAATGTGGATAATTTCCTGGAAGAAGATTTATTAAGAAAATAAGAAAAATGTAGGAGTAAAAGTTTCACTTTCTTATTTTCCTATAGGTGAATAGCAAAAGCAAAGTAAAACTAAAACCAAATCTCTTTTCCTCAATAGTTCAGAAAGGATATGCCATCCAATAGTTTCTTATTAAGTCCTTAAAGCTACAAAAAGCACTGTGATCAGAAATTTGAAATATGATGCTAATGGTATGCTTCAGGGCCTTTCAGGGAAAAGCATAAAGCCTCCTGAGTTCCAGGCAACTTTACCCTCTAACACAAACCAAAAACACATGGTGAAAGACAGAGGTCTTCCTGCGGCCTACTTCTTTTGCAAACAGAGCTCAGAGCCGCTACAAAGGGGGCCCAAAAAAGAAGTATGAGGAAGAGGGCACAAGAAAGTGACCGTGGCTCCTCAAAGACCTCTGAATGTCATCAGGTTGGAGTAAAAACATTTCTCTATTGAGAAAACAACAGGTTTGCCTACCTGTTCTTGAAGGAACAAGTCATTGGCAATATGCACTATTTTTTCCACAGCAATGATGCTTCCGATGCTATGAATTTCAATATCTGCCAGCATGGTGAGGACAAGGATGGCTTCAACCAGCAGCTGACGGTACTCTGGCTGAGGTACACGATTCAGGACAGACTCCACATGAACAGAGAATTTAATCTCACCTGGAGTCATCTGTGATAGAGAAAAAGAAAATCACTTCCTAAGAGTCCATCATCCAAGAAACATCAATCACCTGCTCTGAAAGGCAGTAAAAACACTGTAGCCATGAGCATTGATTCAGCCCCCTTCAAAATAACTGAGTGAGTAAACTGCTTCAATCTTTTTGGAGGGCAATCTGGCAACGCATAACAAGAGCTATAAGAGTGTCCATGCCCTCTAACCCATAATCCTATTTCTGAGAGTTCATCCTAAGATAGTAATTCAAAAGAGGAAGAAAGCTCCATATAGAAGAGTACTTATAGTAGCTTTAGTCACAAGTGTAAAACTAGAGGTAACCTAAACATGGGAACGGCATATCATGGCATAGCAACTTCATGAGTTTTTACATGACTGTTTATTAAAATCTGATCACTGTAAATAAAGGAAAAACTGAGGTAAAACTTAAAATTGTATGTATAATACATAAAAATTAGAATTATGTAAAACATCCATATACTATTAGATTAAAAAGGGCATTAAGAAATGTAAAGTTATTTTGGGGTGAAGGGGATTGAGAAGTATACTTTGGTAAACTTGTATTGAGTATATCCTCTAGGGAGGCAATGTAGATTTGGAGTATAAAGACTTGGGTTCAAGTCTTATCTTTGTTACTTACTAGTTATACAACCTTAGACAATTAATCTCTAAATTTGTTTCCTTATCCATAAATTAGGAATGATAATTCCTTCTTTACCTATTTTACATAATGGTGTTTAAGGCCAAATTTAAAAATGTAAAAATAATGTTTGAAGACTCTTAAAGGTACTATTCAGGTATGTATTATTAATTATATGAACATTTCACTCTTGCGTAAAGGTAGAGAAAAGACAAATGGGGGACATGGCATTCTTGATTAGAGAAAAGGCCTGTAGGCAATAGTGAAGCCCTGAAGCATAACATTAGCTTTCTGTACCTGTCCCCCAAGATGCTATCTGAAACAACCCCAGCATTTTTGAGAACTTTCTACTATTGAATCTTACTACTTCAATCATGCTAACACTAGCTCCTTTGTTGACTCTGTGTAAAAGCTAGTTTTTATAATTTCTGTGTAGTTTGGACAAAAAGGAAAATATAAAAGCATCTGATAATCTATGTCTGTGGTTCATGGTAATATTTTCCAACCACGGTTATATATTAGAATCATTCTATAGATTAAAAAAAATACAGATGCTCACGTCCCATCCCTGGAGATTCTAATCCACTAAATTGGAAATTGGAACCCGGGTTACCCCAACATATAGTTGTAGCTAACAACCACTGGTTTATGTTCTAATGGTCTACAAACATCCTACTAGAGAAAGGTAGGAATGTGAAGGACGGGAGACATGAGAAGTCATGCATTCATAGATTTTGATCCCTCTGCCTTGTCTAACCCTCACAACGCTCACATAAGCCGGCCTAACTTAATCAACCATTAAAAGAATTTGTCTTCATATAAAGTAATCCATACTTATTCTATAATATTCTCTTTCCATTAAAAAAATTGTCTTTTCTTCAAATGCATTTCATGTTCAGTTGATTTATAAAAGCATGGATCTGTCACTTTGAAAAGTAAGTGATCACTGGGATACTTTAGCCAGCAAAGTTATCAGTCACATAAATGTGCAAGAAAGAGACTCTTACCTCTCTAGTGGTAGAGGAAGGAAGGACAAACCCTTCAACAGAAAGTCCGTGACACTGCAAAACAGAAAAAAAACCATATCACCAAAAACCATATCACCAAGGATAGACAAACAACGGGGAGGCTATGAGGAGACGCTGTATTTCTAAGTGTGCCTCATGTGGTATATGCTGAGTAATCACAGACTAGCAAGGGGCTCTGCAGTCCAAGTGCCCTTGCCATGGAGTTGTGATGCCTAAGTGCCAAGATGCAGGATTGGACTATAGGAGACCTAAGGTTCATCCTCTACTTAGGGAAATGGAATGAGTAGGAAAGCTCTATCTTTTGGGATAGACTAGTCCCAAATATTCAGAGACTATCTGGAAAGATATCATACTAGGTCGCACGGCCATCACAAACAGGCCTTAGAAAAAATTTTAGGCCATAGGAAAAAACTCAAGACATGCATTTATTTATTTACTTATATTTTAGTGAGCAAAAGTTTTCCTTTTTTTTTTAACACTTGTTTTTTTTTTATTATTATACTTTAAGTTCTAGGGTACATGTGCACAACGTGCAGGTTTGTTACATATGTATACATGTGCCATGTGGGTGTGCTGTACCCGTTAACTCGTCATTTACATTAGGTATATCTCCTAATGCTCTCCCTCCCCCCTCCCCCCACCCCATGACAGGCCCCAGTGTGTGATGTTCCCCATCCTGTGTCCAAGTGTTCCCATTGTTCAATTCCCACCTATGAGTGAGAACACGCGGTGTTTGGTTTTCTGTCCTTGCGATAGTTTGGTGAGCACAAGTTTTATTTACACACTGTATCCATAAGCAGATGCATATATTCTTATACAAGTAATTTCCAAAAATGTGTAAGAAATTACTATCATTTGTTAATAAACCAAAACACATATTAAAATCAAGGGATTTTAGATACTTCATTTTGTGGTGTTCTAAGTACAAATGGTGCACACCTGATTTGAAACATATAAAAAGTATAAACTACAGCAGTCCAAAATGCAAGTATTAATTTCATGGCACTCCAACAGCTATAAAATTTTTTTAACTCAAAATGTATGCTTTTCACAAAATTCTATAAGAATTTTTCATCTGTGGATGTAGAGTTTGGATCACTTTTCAGAAATGGCAAGTGTGCAATTTTGCCATGTTATGATTGATTAATAAAAAAGATGTTTATAAAAAACCTTGGGTCTCCATTTCAAGATGGCCAAATAGGAACAGCTCCAGTCTGCAGCTCCCAGTGTGATCAATGCAGAAGACAGGTGATTTTTGCATTTCCAACTGAGGTACCTGGTTCATCTCATTAGGACTGGTTGGACAGTGGGTGCAGCCCACGGAGGGCAAGCCAAAACAGGGTGGGGCATCACCTCACCCGGGAAGCGCAAGGGGTTGGGGGATTTCCCTTTCCTAGCCAAGGGAAGCCGTGACAGACTGTACTTGGAAAATAGAGACACTCCCGCCCAAATACTGCACTTTTCCAGTGGTCTTAGCAAATAGCACACCAGGAGATTATATCCCATGCCTGGCTCACCAGGTCCCATGCCCACAGAGCCTTGCCCACTGCTAGCACAGCAGTCTGAGATCGAACTGCAAGGCAGCAGCCTGGCTGGTGGAGGGGTGTCCGCCATTGCTGAGGCGTGAGTAGGTAAACAAAGCTGCCTGGGAAGCTTGAACTGGGTAGAGCCCACCTCAGCTCAGCAAGGCCTGTTGCCTCTGTACATTCCACCTCTAGCGGGAGGGCATAGCTGAACAAAAGGCAGCAGAAACTTATGCAGACTTGAACGTCCCTGTCTGACAGCTCTCAAGAGAGCAGTGGTTCTCCCAGCACAGTGTTTGAGCTCTGAGAAAGGACAGACTGCCTCCTCTAGTGGGTCCCTGACCCTCGTGTAGCTTAACTGGGAGACACCTCCTACTAGGGGCTGAATGACACCACATACAGGCAGGGGCCCCCTGAGACGAAGCTTCCAGAGGAAGGATCAGGCAGAAGTATTTGCTGTTCTGCAGCCTCTGCTGGTGATAACCAGGCAAAGAGGGTCTGGAGGGGACCTCCAGCAAACTCCAACAGACCTGCAGCTGAGAGACCTGACTGCAAGAAGGAAAACTAACAAACAGAAAGGAATAGCATCAACATCAACAGAAAGGACATCCACACCAAAACCCCATCTGTAGGTCACCAACATCAAAGACCAAAGGTAGATAAAACCATAAAGATGGGGAGAAACCAGAGCAGAAAAGCTGAAAATTCTAAAACCCAGAGCGCCTCTTCTCCTCCAAAGGATCACAGCTCCTCACCAACAACGGAACAAAGCTGGATGGAGAATGACTTTGACAAGCTGACAGAAGTAGGCTTCAGAAGGTTGGTAACAACAAACTTCTCTGAGCTAAAGGAGGATGTTTGAACCCATCACAAGGAAGGTAAAAACCTTGAAAAAAGATTAGATGAATGGCTAACTAGAATAAACAGTGGAGAGAAGACCTTAAGTGACCTGATGGAGCTGCAAACCACGGCACAAGAACTACGTGACGCACGCACAAGCTTCAGTAACCAACTCAATCAAGCGGAAGAAAGGATATCAGTGACTGAAGACTGAATTAATGAAATAAAGCGAGAAGAGAAGTGTAGACAAAAAAGGGTAAAAAGAAACGAACAAAGCCTCCAAGAAATATGGGACTATGTGAAAAGACCAAACGTACGTCTGATTGGTGTACCTGAAAGTGACGGGGAGAATGGAACCAAGGTGGAAAACACTCTGCAGGATACTATCCAGGAGAACTTCCCCAAACTAGCAAGGCAGGCCAACATTCAAATTCAGGAAATAAAGAGAACAACACAAAGATACTTCTCAAAAAGAGCAACACCAAGACACATAATTGTCAGATTCACCCAGGTTGAAATGAAGGAAAAAAATATTAAGGGCAGCCAGAGAGAAAGGATGGGTTACCCACAAAGGGAAGCCCATCAAACTAAGAGCTGATCTCTCGGCAGAAACTCTACAAGCCAGAAGAGAGTGGGGGCCGATATTCAACATTCTTAAAGAAAAGAAATTTCAACGCAGAATTTCATATCCAGCCAAACTAAGCTTCATAAGTGAAGGAGAAATAAAATCCTTTAGAGACAAGCAAATGCTGAGAGATTCTGTCACCACCAGGCCTGCCTTACAAGAGCTCCTGAAGGAAGCAATAAACATGGAAAGGAACAACCGGTACCAGCCACTGCAAAAACATGCCAAATTGTAAAGACTATCAATGCTAAGAAGAAACTGCATCAACTAACGAGCAAAATCACTAGCTAACATCGTAATGACAGGATCAAATTTACACATAACAATATTAACCTTAATGTGAATGGGCTAAATGCTGCAATTAAAAGACACAGACTGGCAAAATGGATAAAGAGTCAAGACCCATCAGTGTGCTGTATTCAGGAGACCCATCTCTTGTGCAGAGACACACATAGGCTCAAAATAAAGGGATAGAAGAAGATCTCCCAAGCAAATGGAAAGCAAAAAAAAGCAGGGTTTTGCAATCCTAGTCTCTGATAAAACAGACTTTAAAGCAACAAAGATCAAAAAAGACAAAGAAGGCCATTCCATAATGGTAAAGGGATCAATTCAACAAGAAGAGCTAACTATCCTAATATATATGCACCCAATACAGGAGCACTCAGATTCATAAAGCAAGTCCTTAGAGACCTAGAAAGAGACTCAGACTCCCACACAATAATAATGGCAGACTTTAACACCCCATGTCAATATTAGACAGATCAATGAGACAGAAGGTTAACAAGGATATCCAGGACTTGAACTCAGCTCTGCACCAAGCACACCTAATAGACATCTACAGAACTCTCCACCCCAAACCAACGGAATATACATTCTTGTCAGCACCACATGGCACTTATTCTAAAATTGACCATATAGTTGGAAGTAAAGCACTTCTCAGCAAATGTAAAACAGAAATCACAACAAACTGTCTCTCAGACCACAGTGCAATCAAATTAGAACTCAGGATTAATAAACTAACTCAATACTGCACAACTACATGGAAACTGAACAACCTGCTCCTGAATGAATACTGGGTACATAACGAAATGACGGCAGAAATGAAGGTGTTCTTTGAAACCAATGAGAACAAAGACACAACATACCAGAATCTCTCGGACATTGAAAGCAGTGTGTAGAGGGAAATTTATAGCACTAAATGCCCACAAGAGAAAGCAGGAAAGATCTAAAATTGACACCCTAATATCACAATTAAAAGAACTAGAGAAACAAGAGCAAACAAATGCAAAAGCTAGCAGAAGGTAAGAAATAACTAAGATCAGAGCAGAATTGAAGGAGACAGAGACACAAAAAACCCTTCAAAAGATCAATGAATCCAGGAGCTGGTTTTTTGAAAAGATCAAAAAAATTGATAGACTGCTAGCTACACTAACAAAGAAGAAAAGAGAGAAGAATCAAATAGACACAATAAAAAATGATAAAGGGGATATCACCACCAATCCCACAGAAATACAAAATACCATCAGAGAATACTATAAACACCTCTATGCAAATAAACTAGAAAATCTAGAAGAAATGGATAAATTCCTGGACACACACACCCTCTCAAGACTAAACCAGGAAGAAACTGAATCTCTGAATAGACCAATAACAGGTTCTGAAATTGAGGCAATAATTAATAGCCTACCAACCAAAAAAAAGTCCAGGACCAGAGGGATTCACAGCCGAATTCTACCAGAGGTACAGAGAGGAGCTGGTACCATTCCTTCTGAAACTATTCCAATCAATAGAAAGACGGAATCCTCTCTAATTCAGTTTATGAGGCCAGCATCAGCCTGATACCAAAGCCTGGCAGAGACACAACAAAAAAAGAGAATGTTAGACCAATATCCCTGATGAACATCAATGGGAAAATCCTCAGTAAAATACTGGCAAACCGAATCCAGTAGCACATCAAAAAGCTTATCAACCATGATCGAGTCGGCTTCATCCCTGGGATGCAAGGCTGCTTCAACATATGCAAATCAATAAAAGTAATCCATCACATAAACAGAACCATCGACAAAAACCACATGATTAACTCAATAGATGCAGAAAAGGCCTTCAACAAAATTCAAAAGCCCTTCATGCTAAAAACTCTCAATAAATTAGGTATTGATGGAACATATCTCAAAATAATAAGAGCTATTTAAGACAAACCCACAGCCAACATCATACTGAATGGGCAAAAATTGGAAGCATTGCCTTTGAAAACTGGCACAAGACAGGGATGCCCTCTCTCACTATTCCTATTCAACATAGTGTTGGAAGTTCTGGACAGGGCAATCAGACAAGAGGAAGAAATAAAGGGTATTCAATTAGGAAAAGAGGAAGTCAAATTGTCCCTGTTTGCACATGACATGATTGTATATTTAGAAAACCCCATCGTCTCAGCCCAAAATCTCCTTAAGCTAATAAGCAACTTCAGCAAAGTCTCAGGATACAAAATCAATGTGCAAAATTCACAAGCATTCCTATATACTAATAATAAACAGAGATCCAAATCATGAGTGAACTCCCATTCACAATTGCTTCAAAGAGAATAAAATACCTAAGAATCCAACGTACAAGGGATGTGAAGGACCTCTTCAAGGAGAACTACAAACCACTGCTCAAGGAAATAAGAGAGGACACAAACAAATGGAAGAACATTCCATGCTCATGGATAGGAAGAACCAATATCATGAAAATGGCCATACTGCTCAAGATAATTTATAGATTCAATGCCATCCCCATCAAGCTACCAATGACTTTCTTCACAGAATTGGAAAAAAACTACTTTAAAGTTCATATGGAACCAAAAAAGAGCCCGCATTGCCAAGTCAATCCTAAGAAAAAGAAGAAAGCTGGAGGCATCACGCTACCTGACATCAAACTATACTACAAGGCTACAGTAACCAAAACAGCATGGTACTGGTACCAAAACAGAGATATAGACCAATGGGACAGAAGAGAGGCCTCAGAAATAACACTACACACCTACAACCATCTCATCTTTGACAAACCTGACAAAAACAAGAAATGGGGAAAGGATTCCCTATTTAATAAATGGTGCTGGGAAAACTGGCTAGCCATATGTAGAAAGCTGAAACTGGATCCCTTCTTTACACCTCATACAAAAATTAATTCAAGATGGATTAAAGACTTAAATGTTAGACCTAAAACCATAAAAGCCCTAGAAGAAAACCTAGGCAATAGGCATGTGCAAGGACTTCATCACTAAAACACCAAAAGCAATTGCAACAAAAGCCTAAATAGACAAATGGGATCTAATTAAACTAAAGAGCTTATGCATAGCAGAGGAAACTACCATCAGAGTGCACAGGCAACCTACAGAATGGGAGAAAATTTTTGCAATCTACCCATCTGACAAAGGGCTAATATCCAGAATCTACAAATAATTTAAACAAATTTACAAGAAAAAATGAAACAACCCCATCAAAAAGTGGGCAAAGGATATGAACAGACACTTCTCAAAAGAAGACATTTATGCAGGCAACAGACATGTGAAAAAATGCTCATCATAACTGGTCATCAGAGAAATGCAAATCAAAACCACAATGAGATACCATCTCACACCAGTTAGAATGGTGATCATTAAAAAGTCAGGAAACAACAAATGCTGGAGAGGATGTGGATAAATAGGAACGCTTTTACACTGTTGGTGGGAGTGTAAACTAGTTCAACCATTGTGGAAGACAGTGTGGTGATTCCTCAAGGATCTAGAACTAGAAATACCATTCGACCCAGCAATCCCATTACTAGGTATATACCCAAAGTATTATAAATCATGCTACTATAAAGATACATGCACATGTATGTTTATTGCGGCACTATTCACAATAGCAAAGACTTGGGACCAATGCAAATGCCCATCAATGATAGACTGGATTAAGAAAATGTGGCACATATATACCATGGAATACTATGCAGCCATAAAAAAGCATGAGTTCATGTCCTTTGCAGGGACATAGACGAAGCTGGAGACCATCATTCTGAGCAAACTATCACAAGGACAGAAAACCAAACACCACATGTTCTCAGTCATAGGTGGGAACTGAACAATGAGAACACTTGGTCACAGGGTGGGGAACATCACACACCAGGTCTGTCATGGGGTGGGGGGCGAGGGGAGGGATAGCATTGGGAGAAATACCTAATGTAAATGACGGGTTGATGGGTGCAGTGGGCCAGCATGGCACATGTATACCTATGTAACGAGCTTGCACATTGTGCTCATGTACCCTAGAACTTAAAGTATAATTAAAAAAAAAGAAAAAAAAACCTTTACAGAATTTAAAGAGTATTCACACAAATCAAATTTGTCATTCCTAGCACACCAATAGTTTTAGAATTTTAAAGTCATTTATAGAACTGGCTATTGTTCCATATTACAGTATTCAACAAAGCTATCTGTTACTGGGTATAACTCTAAATATCTTTATAACAAAGCTTTCAGAAATGCCAATTTTAATTACTGTACACTGCATGTTGTATATGAGAGATATTGGTTTATGAATGATTTAAAACAATATATTTTCATTTAAATTTTAAGTGCTTTTCTTTGAACATAAAGTCTTAATTTGAAAATGAAATCAAGACATGCATTTATCGGACATGTACTGTTACTACATTTGCTAGCTAAGCATCCCATCCCTTCATAAATACTCATACCCTGTTCTTGTTTTTACACAGTACTTATCATCTTTTAACATTCTAGATACTTTGCTTATTTACTGTTTATTATTTATAATTTGTTCCTCCCTAGTAGAATATAAGTTCAAGGAGAATGAAGATTATTATCTGTTTTGTTCTTTGCTGTATGAGCACATAGAACATTGCCATAATCCATGCATAACTGAAGAGATAAAATAATATTTGTCACCATTGTGCTATAGAAGTTAGCTGCAAAAAAAGCAAGTTATCAGTACTCTTTAAAGGAAGATTGCCAGAGCCCATAGTCTGAGGAACCAACTTTTACCTTTCCAAAAGATCACCTGATTCTGTCCTTGGAAGAATATCCATGCCCAAAGGGGAAAAAACATAACTGAAGGGTTTTAAGTCCTGGATGAAGTGATCTTCAGGTCCTTATTAAAGCCAGTGATGCAGAAAGTGGCACCTAAGAGACTATGAATGAGACCTATGCTGAGCATAATAGTGTTCTTGGCCCTCTAAAACTGTCACCACCATAATAGTGTGGCATGCCCTTAAATTTCTTTGGCCAAATAGGCCTTCAAAAGAAAAATAAATATTGGTCACATCAAAGAGTCTCCGAACTATTACCATCATTATGACTTTGCATTTATTTAGTAGTTTTCATCCAAGAAAAAATATAGGTAATAACTCCTAACACAAACTCCCCAAGTACTGCATTTGTTTTACTCTACTGATACTTGGTTTTACTCTACTGATACATTTGTTTTACTCTACTGATAGCACGTTGCTACAAATAACATTTACAACCCTCCACAGCTACAAAGAAAGTTAGCTCTTTAGTAACAAATTCGTTTGATTAGCAGCAAATGTATCACAATGTCCAACTATGGCCAGAAGCAGAGAGGTGATGATTTTAAAAGTCTAATTTAGAAACAAGACTATGGCAACAATAATAGAAAGAGACTAAATTATTAATAATGCCACAATAACAAATCAACTGTTTCATTTTTATGTTTTCTTCTTGGTTTTGTCTATCTGAGTTATGACTTTTACATAATTGCAGTGATTATATTAGTCATGTCATATCTCTGCCAAGGAGACTGAGAATTTCAAGGGGCAAAAATGAGACATCAACAATGTATTATGCTCACCTTCTGCAAAACTTTCCATACTTTCTGATAAAATCCAACTGGAACTCTATTCAGTGCCCCATCCAGCCTTCTTCGGCGTTGCCATTGACCTTGACGACTATCTTTAGATGACTGCTGATCATATGCACTAGGAAAGGACCCACTACTTGGAGTCATAGAGGTTCCAGGTGACTTGGAAGAGGAGAGGAAAGAACATAAATCAAAAGTTATCTCTGTTTCTATGATGAAGTCTTTGAACTTTTTTTTTTTTTGAGATGGAGTCTCGCTCTGTCGCCCAGGCTGGAGTGCAGTGGCGTGGCGCAATCTCGGCTCACTGCAAGCTCTGCCTCCCGGGTTCATGCCATTCTCCTGCCTCAGCCTCCCGAGTAGCTAGGACTACAGGCGCCTGCCACCATGCTCGGCTAACTTTTTGTATTTTTAGTAGAGACGGGGTTTCACCATGTTAGCCAGGATGGTCTTGATCTCCTGACCTCATGATCCACCCGCCTGGGCCTCCCAAAGTGCTGGGATTACAGGCGTGAGCCACCACACCCGGCCCAAGTCTTTGAACTTTATAGTGAACAATAAACCTACTCTGCAGAATTATAAACCAAATATTAAGTGAAGCAGCCAAGACAAAGAGGTTATAGTGAAGCTAGTAGACTTATATGTAGCTAGCAGTGCTGTACGCTGGTACAATCCTTTTTGAAAGCAATCTGGTGATACATGAGAAAAGTCATAAAAATACTGATGATTTGGGACATTCTTAGCTGTCTCTTGACCTGATTATCTCTGTTAAACTTCTAGCTCGTCCATGGTTTAGTTTGTTGCCCTCATGGGCCATAAGATGAGCCATAATAAATTTAAAATTGAAATCATACGAAGTATGTTCTCTAACCACAACAGAAGTCAGTAATCGAAATAAATTAAGGAAATTTACAAATGTGGAAATTAACACACTTCTAAATAATAAATGCATTAAGGAAAAAAATCACTAGCAAAATTAGAAAATAATGAAATGAATGAAAACGAAAGCACAACATAGCAAAACTTATGGGATGCAGCTAAAACAGCACTTAACGAACAATTTATGTTATAAATGCCTATATTAAAGAAAGGATAAATGTCTCAAATCAATAAACAAACTTTCCATTTGAAGACAATAAAGAAAGAAGAGCAAGCTAAATTGAAAGCAAGCAGAAGGAAGGAAATAATAAGGATTAGAGTGGAAAGAAATGAAATAGAGACTAGAAACACAATAGGGAAAGCATATGAATCCCCAATTTTTTCCTATGAAAATATCAACAAAATAGACAAATCATTAGATAGAAAGACCAAGAAAAAAAGGGGAAATAAAGACCTCAATTCTGACCTTCAGAAAGAAAAAGGATTATAAGGGCATACCATCCGCAGCCATATGCGGACAAATTACATAATCTCAATGAAACAGACAAATTCCTAGAAAGACACAAACTACCCAAACCAACTCATAAAGAAAGATAACATCTTAATAGAACTATTACAAACAAATATATCAAATTAGTAAGTACAAAACTTCCTTCAAAGTATGGGTTCTTGGCTCGTGGTGCATGGGCATATGGCTTGTGCCTGTATTCCCAGCTACTCGGGAGGCTGAGGCGGAAGGATTGCATGAGCCCCGGAGTTTGAGACCACCTTGGGTGATATCGTTAGACTCTGTCTCAAACGAACAAACAAACAAATAAACAAACGTTCCCACATAGTAGTAAAGCCCATGCACAGATGGATTAACTGGTTAATTCTACAAAACATTTAAAGAGGAATTATTACTAGCTCTTCACAATCTCTTCCAGAAAAGAGAAGGGAACACTTCCCAAGTCATTCTATGAGGCCAATATTACCCAGATACCAAAATCAGACAAAGATGTCACCAGAAAACTACAGTCCAATATCCTTTATGAATATAGATGCGAAAATCCTCCAGGAAATACTAGAAAACCAAATTCAGTGATATACTAAAAGGATTATACAACATGAAGTGGGACTGATTCCAGAAATTCAAGGCTGTTTTAACATCTGAACATCAATTAATGTAATACACTACATCAACAGAATAAAAGATAAAAAACGCATCATCTTAATAGATACAGAAAAAAACACATAACAAAATTCGACACACCTTCATGATAAAAACACTCAACAAACTAGGAACAGAAGGGAACCTCCTCAATCTAATAAAAGTTTAGATTTTTTTCCTACAACAACCCACAGCTAACATCATAATGAGTGGTTGAAGACTGAAGGCTTCCCCCCGAAGATCAGAACAAGACAAGAATGTCCACTCTTATCACTTGTATTCAACATTTTATGGGGGGCCTGAACCAGGGAGATTAAGTAAGAAAAGAAATAAAAGGCATCCAGATTGGAAAAGAAGAGGTAAAAACTATTTGCAGATGACATGATCTTGTATATAGAAATTCTAAGGAATTCACTAACAAGCAACTACAACTAATAAATGAGTTCAGTGAAGTTTCATGATATAAGATCAATAACAAAAATCAATTAAATTTTACTTGAGTAGACATTTCACCAAAGATGATATACAAATAGCCACCACACACATGTAAAGATGCTCAACATCACTAATCATCATGGAAATGCGGATCAAACCACAATGAGCTATCACCTCACACCTGTTAGGATGACCGTGGTTAAAAAAACACCCAAAGATAACAGGTATTGGTGAGAATGTGAAGACATTAGGACCCTTGTACACTGTTGCTGGGAATGTAAAATGCTGCAGCCGCTATGGAACACATTATGGAGGTTCCTCAAAAATTAAAAATAGAACTACCATATGATTCAGCAATCCCACTTCTGGATATTTATCCAAAAGAATTGAAGTCAGAATCTTGAAGAGATATTTGCATGCCCATGTTCAAATGCAGCATTATTCACAATAGTCAAGATATGAAAACAACCTAAATATATATTAACAACTGAATGGCAAAAGAAAATCTGGTAATACATAAAATGGAATATTATTCAGACTTTAAAAACGAAGGAAATTTTGCAAAATATGACAGTGTCGATGAACCTGCAGGATACTATGCTATGAGAAATAAGCCAGTCACAGAAGAACAAATTCTGTATGATTCCAGTTATGTAATGTATCTGAAACAGCCAAACTCATAGAAGCAGAGAGTAGAACGGTAGTTGTCAGGGGCTGGGTAGAGGGGAAAATGGGAACTTGCTATTCAATGGGTATAAAGTTTCAGTTATGTAAGATGAAAACGTTCTAGAGATCTACTGTACAACATCAAGCCTATAGTTAATGATACTATATTGTACACTTAAAAATTTTTTAAAGGATAGATCTCATGTTAAATGTCTTACTATAATAAAAAAATTAGTTGTATTTGTAAACAGCAGCAATGAACAATATTAAAATAAAATTAAGAAAACAATTCCATTAAAAAATAACGTTAAGAATAACAAAATATGTAGGAATAAATTTAACAAAAGAAGTCCAAAACAAATACTCTGAAAACTATAAAACATGTTGAAAAAAATTAAAGACCTAAATAAATTGAAATATAGTTCCATATTCATGGGTCAGAAGACTTAACATCATTAAGATGGCAATATTTCAAAAACTGATGTACAGACTGAACACAATCTCTATCAACATACCAGCTGGGATCTTTGCAGAAACTGACAAGCTGATCCTAACATTCATATTTAAAAAGAAGACTGAAGTTGGAGAGCTCACACTTCCTGATTTCAAAATTTACTCTAAAGCTATCAAAACTACAAAACTATCAAAACTGTGTCATATTGGTATAGGATGGACATATAGATCGATGGAATAGAACAGGGAGTTCAAAAATAAACCATTATATTTTGGTCAATTAATTTTCAACAAGGACGCCAAGATAATTAAATGAGGGAAAAATAGCCTTTTCAACAAATGGTGCTGGAACAGTGACATCCACATGCAAAAGAATGAAGTTGAACTCTACCTTATACCACACACAAAAATTAAGCCCATTGTGCAGAAAAGAGTTAAGACAGTAGGCCAGAACTGCTATTCTTGGAAAGGCTTGCTTACAAGGTTGGCCCTTGGCTGGCATTTAGAAACTTAGAAACTTGGATTCTGGGAGAGTTCTCACCATTCCCAGAACTAATAACAGTGGCTTACCATGCCTAAACTGTACAAACGCTATGGTTTATGTTGAACGTTTGCTTTCTTTCTGGGAGTCCAGAGTTTTGATACACGCCAGACAGAGGCTGTTTACGTGACCAGCCCTCAACAAGAACAATGGGTGCTGAGTCTTTATTAGGTTCCTTGGTTGGCAATGACATCTTGTCACAACTCATTGCAGGGTGACTCTACTGACAGAGTACTCTGGAAGCTTGTGTCTGTTTTCCCTAGACTTTGACCAATGACTCTTTTAAATTTTTTTTAACTTTTGTAGGTACATAGTAGGTTTATATATTTATGAGGTATATGAGACATTTTGTTACAGGCATACAATGCATAATAACCACATCAGGGTAAATGGGGTATCCATTATCTCAAGCAATTATCCTTCCTTTGTGTTACAAACAATCCAATTATACTTTTTATTATTTTAAAATGTACAATAAATTATTGTTGACTGTAGTTACACTGTGCCCAATGCATCTTGTACCCTTTAGGTGTAATAAACCGTAGCAGTGAGTATGACTATATGCTGAGATCTATGAGTCTTCCTAGTGAATCATTAAATCTGAGGGTGATCTTGGGGATCCCTCCATACATAATCATAGACCTAAATAAAACAGCTAACTCTATAAAACCCTTAGAACACAAATAGGAATAAATCTTTGTGACCTTGGGTTAGGCAAAGCCTTCTTAGATATGACACCAAAAACATCATGATTAACAAAAGAAAAAATAGACAAATTGGACTTTGTGGAAATCAAAAATTTTTGTTGTTTGAAGAATACTTAATGGTATTGAGTGAAAAGACAACCCACAGGATGGGAGAAATATTTGCAAATTTTATATCTTAAAAGGGACTTGTATCCAGAATATATAAAGAATCCTTGCAACTCAACAATAAAAAGACAAAAAAAATTAAAATAGGTACAAATGTGAATTGACATTTCTCTAAAGAAGATAAACAAATGGCCATTGGGCACATGAAAAGACACTCAGTATCATTAGCTATTAGGGCAATGCAAATCAAAACCACTACGAGATACCAGTTCACACCCATCAGGATGGCTATAATAAAAAAGACAATTGTAAGGGTTGGTGAAGATGTAAAGAAATTGGAACTCTCATACTCTGCTGGTGGGAATGTAAAATGGTGCAGCCCTTTTGGACATGTCTGGCAGTTCTTCAGAATGCGACACATAGTTACCATATGACCCAGGACTTCCACTCCTAGATATATATCCAAGAGAAGTGAAAACATATGTCCATACAAAAACTTGTGCATGAAGGTTCATTGTAGAATTATTCATAGCAGCCAAAAAGTGGAAACAATCCAGGTGTCCATCAACTGATGAATGGATAAATAAAATGTGGTACATTAATTTAGTAGGATATTATTCAGCAATGAAAAAAATAAACTTTTGATACATGCTAAAACATAATGAACTTTGAAAAACTTATACTAAGTAAAGGATAAAATACATTGGGCAAAGTGGTTAACAGTTTAAATTCAGAAATAAATATAAGATAGAAGATAATAGAAATATTTTCTGAGAAAATAACTTCTCACGTTTTAATTTGGGCCAAATGCCTAAATCACCAACCAATGCAATGTAAAAAAGAAAAGAGCCCCCAAACATTTCTACTGGCAAGTGACTATCGCACTGATCTATTGAGTAGATGAACTGCCATTTAATTATCTTCATTGTCTTGTTTATACCACCAAGATCCTAGGCTGTTGATTGTGAGGTCAAACCAGAAAGGGTATAGATCTGATAAAGTACAATTCAGACTGTTTTCCAAAGCCAAATATCAATCATTTTGAGTTTTTAAATTTTCTTCTATACCCCTGTCCTATGTTAGTGTGGATATGATAGAGTTGGCCAAGTCTTATTAGTTCATTACAGGGTATTTGATTTAGGTTAACCTAAATACTAATATTGTTTCGAATAATTTTCCATTTTTTGTTTGGTAATTGTCTAGCCTAAATCTCTTCAGCTTGAGAAATCTGAAATCATAGGCCATTATGAGTCTTTGATTTAAACCAAATAAATTTAATTAGAGGTCAGTCCTCCTAAATTGTAAGCTTCACGAGGGCAAAGACCACATCCATTTTGTTCACAGTGCCTGGCACAAAACTGGCACTCAATTAATATTTACTAAATGAATTCATAATCAGAAGAAAAGCTAACCCAGTGGCTTTCAAACTTAAAAATGCATCAGAATCATCTAAATAAAACAGATTACTGGGCCTCATCCGCAGTCTTTCTGACTCTGTGTACTTAGGGTGGGACCAAGAATTTATACTTAACCAATACTTAGCAAATTGAATTTTGTTTTCTGAAATCGCAAAGAGGTTGGAGTTGAACTCCCTTCCCTATGTTATTGGAAAATAAATGAAAAGATTCACCCCCATATATGAAATTGCTTTATACTTATTTTAATTCTTGATTAATTTTTTTTTTAATCAACCAGTATATGTCATGATTTATATAAGAGCATATTCAAAGCACATGTGAATGGCATATACGAGAAGATCACAGCAGTTACCATAAAAGACGGTGACATCAAATCTATACCCAGGGGATGACCACCATTGGACTATGAGAACAAATTGAGAAAATAAAATTTTAAAAGATATGAGGCCAGGAAACAATTATTTGTACTTTTAAGTCACTAGTGGAGTAAAAATACAGACTATTTCAGTATGTAGTCAGCACATAATCATTAAAAAGCTGATGAAATAGCTTTACCCTAGAAGCCATGGTGAAGGGAAAAGAAATAAAAATACCCTTATAATTTTTTTTTTCATAATCAGAAAAGAGGGCATTCTTGAGTGATAGGGAAAAAATGGCTTAGAACAATACAAAATACCAGACAGGCAGGTGAGGATGGAAGTTAATATTTAGAAATAAGAAAGTAATGCAAATTTAGGACTCTCAATCCTCTAAATTATAGTCCTAGTGATTTTGGCTCCCTTGAAAACCTATAGGTAGTGAATGTTTAGAAAAAACTTAAATGATGTAGCTGGGTAGATCAAGTCTCAACATCATATTAATGTAGCTGGGAACATGTACTTCAAGTTGTAAATATATAATGAACTTATAAGTAATACTGAGTGACTATCAACAATTATAAAATGTTTATCCAATAACTCTCAACCAAATCAAAGATTATTTACAGATAATGCCAATGTAACTAACTATTCAGTACTGAATGTAGTTCTTTCACGTTTCAAATAGGAAAATATTCAGATTATTCAAATTATTCGAGAAAACTGTAAAGTGAATACAAGGCCCTTTCTTACTCCATTTTCATACTTATTCTTGCATAAATATAAATGCCATAGGGTATTTGATGAGTGTACTCAAGTTACCTCAAATTAAGCTTCAAGCACTGGCTCATTGTCTTCCTAAATGGTTTCTAATTCCTTTTAAAAAAACCAAATAGCAAGGTGGTGGCATGCCTTAGTCCCAGCCACTCTGGTGACTGAGGTAGGAGGATTGCGTGAATCCAGGATTTTGTGCCTGTTAATAGCCACTGCACTCCAGCCTGGACAACATAGTGAGACCCCAGTGCTAAAAAGCTAAAAAAAAGAAACGAAAACTAAAAACAAAACTCCAAATTTCCATTTCACCACTCCTCTTCTGGGGGTTTCAATACTGCAAGCTATCATAATTCTATTCTGAAAACAGGAGTAGTTTTAAGCTTTTCATAAAATGTGCTTCTAGGAGAGGCCAAATCAGTAATTTCTCAACTTGGAGATCTTGAAACCACATGACTTCCTAGAGTTTTAAAAAGAAGCTATGGAAGCTTTTGTTAACTATTTCCTTGTATAAAGCAACCGCTCTCTATTCTCACCTGCAGGAAAAATTAAGAGGCTACAACATGGTATTTAGTGACTCCCACTATCTCCCAGACTGATTTAGATGTTTCTCCCTCTGTGTCCACAGCACCTTTTCTACATCTTGTTAAAGAAAAAATTATTCAATGATACTTGTTAAAGCACGGTAAGGAAGACTTTATTCAGGACCATTGTTAATAGGTACAGAACCATTGCAATGAGGTCTTGCAGTAAGGGAGAGAGATTGGGCTCCCCTCTGAATACAACATAATCAAGTGGGAATTTATAGCCAAGTGGTGGAAAATTACTAAGAGGGAAACATCAGAGGTAGGGAGGATTCTGGCTAAACCATCTTAACAGGATTTTTGCTGAAGACAGGCCAGGGTGATTGGACATCACCTGGGGGTGGTAGAAGATGAGGAGCCTGATCAGATGTCAAGGATGATAAGATATCGAGGATAGGAGTTTCTGGCTAAACTGACTTAGCAGGGTTCTCTTGCTAAAGCTGGATTTTACAAGGAAGTGCACAAATGGGCCTAGGAAAAGGTTGAGAAGCCCACCTAAACTCTGGCCAAGCAAAGACTCTTTGCTTGAAGTCTAAGTCTTGTTTTATAAAGAAAATTAATTCCAAAATTACATCAGTCCTAATAAGAGAAACTTCAATTTCTTATTATCAGATGCAAGTTACTTTCCTTCTAAAATTAACAAAGTACTTTGGTCCAGAAAAAGGAAAGCTATCTGCAAAATGACTGTTATAAAGGCGATTCAAACAATCTACTCCATGACTTGTTATCTTATTTGTAAAAAGGCCATGAGCTCATGCATGTTATACAGAACTAAAGGTAAGTTAAACCATGTTAAATGATCCCTAGTTGTTTCACCTGACTCTCAGCTGAGATTGACAGTCTACGAAATTCCACCTGAAACATAAATGGCTCAAATTAAACTCAGAATGTGAAACAAAATAAATGACCCAACAAAGTCTGATTCCAAAAGAATGTTCTGAAACATGGCAATATCCCAGCTAATCTCCCAGGTAGTATCTTACCTGCTTTATCTCACTTTTTAACTGCATGATCCCAGTTCGTTCTGTTTTGGTTGCTCCAACAGCACCAATCTCGTGGATAGAAATAGCAGGACTGACATTTGAATCAGTGGGACGAACTATGTAGTATGAGAGATTACAGAGAAAGAGAGAGGATAATAAGGTTCAATTTCTTCCCCATCACATTTAAAAAAAACTTTCATATATATCCTTATTTTTAACTTAATTTAAAAACTATAACCTTGCTATTTGAAATGTGGTCCATGGACCAACAGCATCAGTACCACCTACAAGTTTGTTAGTAGAATCTCAGGTCCCACCCCAGATCTACTGAATCAAAATGTGCATTTTAGCAAGATACCCTTCTTGAAACGCACTGCTTTTCAACTTTCTTTTACCACTCTAAGGTCTGACATCCATCCATCTGACCATATATATCTACTTACCCTAACCTTGAAAGTTGAGCATGAGAGATGACCACTTTTCATTTGCTCTGCTGCTTTAGGTACGCAATGCCAAATCCAACCAAAACCACAAATGTAGGTGGACTATTAATTTGTGAGTTTAAAGTTGAAGGGTTACATTAGAAGTACTGTAAGCAGCTATACACATAATACAATACTGTAAGAGCTACTGAATTATTGCCAATTAGAATACAAGAAAGTTTCAGATGATATGGGTTGCTAGTTGTCCTAAAGTGGAGGCTTAAGATAATGTGAGGGAATGCATTAAACAGTTAAAAATGAAACATGATAGTAATCAATCCACTTAGTTGATATACCATTTAAGGAAAAATATAGTGGTTTCCAAATCTTGTTCCAGAAGACAGCTTGGTTTCTGTTTTATATATTGGAGTTTATTTATTTGGGGAAAAAGGTTTCTGTGATGAAGGAAAAACATTTTAAAACCAATGAGACACTTAAACCAAACAGTATGAAATGAAAATGCAGTTATTCAATCTCACCGCTTCGTTCCACTCCAAACTCCTTGCCGCTGAGAATGTGATGCAGGAGATTCTTCATGGCCGAAGGACTGAGATTCATCAGGCCCTCTGTGGCTTCCTCAGCTAGTCAGCAGAAATGTTAGAACAGAAGGACTTCTAATTTGCCTGCCATGCCCTCTCTATATTTTCTCTATTTCTTTTCTTGCTTAGAATTTCTGAGTCACTTGATTGGAAGAACAGAATTACAAAATAAATTGATAGCACCCTACTGCTTAGGTATTCTTACTTCCATAGATTCTTAATTATTTAAGGACTGACTATCCAGTTTGTGGATTAGCGAGGTAATTGATTTCTTCTTCACCCTGCTTCCAGACCATTAGGGTACTTAGTAAAATCTTTATTTGAAGGTGGGAAGAATGAAAGAAGAACAATGGAACTGGAGGCCATTCAGAGAAAGACAATGAATGTATATATGCAGATAAACTAAAATAATTAAAACTTCTCAGCCTGGAAATAATAGAGACTTAAAAGAGATAGATTTGAATCCATGAAATTATGAATATATGAGGATAACTTGAACATGTTAATCAGCATCACACATTTATTAAAAGTAGACTACATGCAGGTCATCATTTTAAGTAACATTTGTGCAAGCAGGTATGACGACATGATACCTAATCTTGAGTCTGACTATCTCTTTGGGAGTGATGGAACATGAAAACAAGATAAACAATAAAACATTGCATATTCTATGTGCCAAATGAGAGGTATAGACAATAATTGCCTTTGAAATCAATGGAGACATCAATCTCCAAGGACTGGAACTGACAAAATTAGTGGGAAGTACTGTGGGAGTAGAAGATAAAGGCCAGACTGTTGAGGGTATTAAACATCAGACCCAGGGATCTTGACTTTATCCTATAAGGAATAAAGAGCCATGGTTTTCATGAATCCACAGGAAAACAAGAAATATAACAGGCTAAATTAAGGAAAAGTGAATATTCAGGGGCTTATCCCTTATTGAGGTTTATTATTGAGCAATCACACTCTCTCGCAAAAAAAAAAACAACATTATACTATATAATGTTTATCTATAACAATGTACTGAACTAGAAATCATTTGCAATCAGGTGGACTCAGACTCAAATTCCACTATTTACTAGCTATGTTGCTTCGGGGAAGTTAGTTAACCTTCTTGAGTTTCAGTTTCTTTATTGGTAAAAGTGACACAATAATACCTTCTTCTCCAGAGGATTCTTGAAAGGATTAAATGACACAATATATGTAAACTTAAAGCAAAAAGCACAGTATCTGGCATATGGTAGGTATAAAACAATTGTTAGCTCTCTTCTGTCAAAGGGTTACTTAAATATAAATTATCTCATGTGTTTGAGTTAGGTTTGACTCAAATTGATAAATTTAGCTACTTGTTAACAGCTTGATTAAAAGTCTTTTGGGGGAAATTTAACAGAAAGAATGGCTAAAATTGAGTTTTACAACTTTGATTTTATTTTTCTATGCCATCCCTATCTGTATTATTTTGCAATTCTTGTTGAAATCAAACAAATACTAATGGAATAAGGAGTCATGTCATAGGGGTCCATTGTTCCCCTTCACACTTTATACCATTTTGCCCTACAGCTTTCACAGGCTCCAACTATTCTTCTAACTAAAACTTTTATCTTGCCAAATACACCTATAGTTAATTTCAAAGAGAGTCTTGTCAGATAGATGTTAATGAAAATGTCATCTTCCTTTATTCAGTCATGATGGTGACTAGACAGAATACTGACACCATGATCCACTGATGTAGTGACTCATTCTTGGTGTACAGACGCTCCACTGCCTAAATCTTAACCCAACTCTGTCTGTCACACTCAAATACTCTCCAGAGTTAGAGAAATGAAGTTAGCAACGAGTGATAAGTCAAGAGGGATTTGGAGTGAAGAGCCCACAGGAGATGGCATTCTGAAGCTGCGAACTGATACACAAATGTGTCATCATATCAGCTCCTTGACTTGCATAAATAGTGACCAACAGGGGAACAAGGTTGCCATATCCAGCTTCTGAGCTATGGATAAAAATGTTTTAGCTTTCTTTCTTTCCTTATTCCAAACTCTATAAACTTACATCAAAAGTGAATTCCACCTAAAATAGTTACTGAATTAAGTACCTGAGCATCGAAGGGAGTGGGCCAGTTCTGTTGCCATAACTTGTATGATCAGACCAATTCGAAGTCGAAACATTTCAGCAAAGAGGCCAGGCTGGGTTCGCATATACATGGCTAGATATACCATTATTTCCTGCACACAGAGTAGATATAGACAAAAATAATGGCCTAGGTCTCACAATGCCTATTTTGTTGTCTTTGGAAATTGCTAGATCAATTGAAAACAAACTTTAAAATATCAGTCACCAGATTAGCCTTTACAATTCTTCTCACCTGTGTAAGGATTGAAATGCTCATATCCCCTTCACTGGCTTCATCTATCAGCTGAGTGAGCGCCTCATAGGGCAGAGGTCTAAGGAAAAAGACAGCAAAGAAAGACAATATTCTACAACCACTTAATCTTAAATATGTTGAAAAAATGAAGAAGCTTTATCCAAGTCCAAGTCACTGCCTCAACATTTCATCATTACCAATAGCATTCTGATTCTTTCAAACTTCAAAGCTCATTCATTGCCTCCTGAAACCACTCTGGCCCATATCAACTTAGAGGAGCTCTGCTCTCTTCTCTCTAAATCTGGATTCTCTTCCTCCTTCAAAATTTATTTAAAACTCACACCATGATGTTCTTCTAGACTAGTCTTTCATAGTTAGCTTTGAACATTTGACAAGTAACTATTATGGCTACAAAGTACTAAATTAATTTTAAGCTGTGCTTTTTTTGTAATACACAATGTTTCTACATATTTACAGGGTACATGTGATGTTTTGTTACATACATAGGATGTGTAATGATCAAGTCAGGGTATTTACGGTATCCATCACCTTGAGCATTTACTATTTCTTTTGGCTGGGAACATTTCAAGTCCTCTCTTCTAGTTATTTTGAAATATACAATACATTGTTGTTAACAATAGTCACCCTACTCTGCTACTGAACATTAGAATGTATTCCTTCTTTAACCAACATCTCTTCAGCATCCCACCCCTACAATGGAATACTAGCTGTGCCTTTTTGAAGCCATTTTATTACTTTACAATCACAGTTGACAGAGTTGTTTGATTTTCTATAGTTTCAATTCACACACATGCACACACACACACACACACACACACGTATACACACATCCTCACACACTTCTGATTCTCCTGCTGACACAAAGCACTCTGGGGCATGAACCATGCCATCTTCTTTGGATTACCTACAGTGTCACAAAACTGATACAAAAAAGATTGTTTTTCCAGAAGCAAGATTTTATGGATTGAATTATGTCCTCTCCTCAAATTCTTTTCTTTAAATTTTTTTTTAATTTTTAATTTTTGTGGGTCTATAGTGGTGTATATATTTCTGGGGTACATGAGATTTTTGATACAGGCATTCAACATATAATAATCAAATCAGGGTAAATGGGGTATCCATCTCATCAAGCATTTATCTTTTGTGTTACAAACAATCCAATTACACCCTTTCAGTTATTTTAAAACGCACAATTAAATTATTTTGACCATAGTCTCCCTATTGTGCTATCAAATACAAGATCTTATTCATTCTCTCCAACTACTTTTTGTACCCATTAACCATCTCCACCCCCAACGCCCATAAACCCTGCTACCCTTCCCAGTCTTTTGGTAACCATCATTCTACTTTCTATCTCCATGAGTTCAATTGTTTTGATTTTTAGTTCCCACAAATCAGTGAGAACATGTGAACTTTGTCTTTCTGTGTCTGACTTATTTCACTTAACATAATGACCTCCAGTTCCATCCATGTTGTTACAAATGACAGGATCTCATTTTTTTTGTGTCTGAATAGTACTCCCTTGTGTATATGTACCATATTTTCTTGATCTATTCATCTACTGATGGACACTTAGGTTGCTTCCAAATCTTGGTTATTGTGAATACTGATGAAATAAACACAGGAGTGCAGATATCTCATCAATATACCGATTTCCTTTCTTTGGGTATATACCTAGCAGTGGGATTGCTGGATCATATGGCAGCTCTATTTTTAGCTTTTTTCAGGAACCTCCAAATTGTTCTTCATAGTAGTTGTACTAATTACATTCCTACCAACAATATATGAGGGTTCCCTTTTCTCCACATCCTTGCCAGCATTTGTTATTGCCTGTCTTTTGGATAAAAGCCATTTTAACTGGGGTGAGATGATACTTCACTGTAGTTTTGATTTGCATTTCTCTGATGATCAATGATGTTGAGCACCTTTTCATATGCCTGTTTGCCATTTGTATGTCTTCTTTTGAGAAATGTCTATTCAGACCATTTGCCCATTTTTAAAACAGACTATTAGATTTTTTTCCCTATAGAATTGTTTGAGCTCCTTATACATTCTGGTTATTAATCCCTTATCAGATAGGTAGTTGGTAAATATTTTCTCCCATTGCACCTTTCCAATTTGCTTTAAATGCTGAATGACTGACTGTAGAATGGTCGATGCTGAGTTCTTCGGCAATTTCTCATGCAGTTTTAAGAGGATCAGCTTCAACAACTGCTCTCAATTGGTCGTTGTCAACTTTCAATAGCAGGCCACTATGCTCCTCATCTTCAAGGCTCTCATCTCCTTTGCAAAACTTCTTGAACCACCACTGCACTGTACATTTGTTAGCAGTTCCTAGGCCAAATGCCAGGCCTGTAATCCGGGACCTCAAAAACCTGCTTGGTGCTCTACCCCACTGTGGCCAACCTGGTACCTAAGCTGCAAGAAAAAGTCCCCTTTACTCTTCCCTCTCCTTTTCTTAAGCAGAAGGAGTCTCTCCCTATACCCACCACGGCTGGGCATGTGTTTGGTCACACTTGGAACCAGAATGTCTGGTCACTGTGCTGATTGTTCAGGTCCCAAGGGCTGTTTAGTCAGCACGTGATAAATCCTGCCAAAACTGGGTACTTCTCTTCAAAGTAGCAGGTTCCCTTCTGGTGCAAGGTATGTGTCAAAATGTCATCCAGGAGCTACGGACTGGAATGGGAGTCTGATGCCTCTGCCTGGTGCCCTATCCTACTGTGGCTGAGCTGGTATCCAACTTGCAAGATAAAGTCCTCTTTACTATTTCCTCTCCTCTCCTCAGTGGAAGGAAGGATTCTCTCCCAGAGTTGCACTATCTGGAGTTGGAAGAGGGGTGGCACAAGCACTCCTTTGCCCACTCTAGCTGATGTCTCACTAGGCCGCATGCACCCCAAGTCCATTGGCTTCGAGTCCAGCATAGCACAAGGATTTGCCCAGGAATTGCAGTCCTTGTGGCCTAGACTGCTTTTTGAGTCTATTTAGTACCCAGAGCACTTTAAGCCCGCGGTGGTGAAGCTTGCTGGAACTTTTGTTTCTCTAAGCCTTCATATGGGAGCTTGAACTGGAACTCAAGGGTAACAGAAATCATGGACATAAACCAGGAAGGAAGGAGTATGCAGACATCAGCAAAAGTATCCCTTCTGTAGCCAATGTAGTAAAAAAAATTTTGTAAACAAAAAACATGCTCTGGATAGAGTTTAACCAGGAAAAAATGAGGGAGAAATATTGACAAAAGTTTTTTTTTAACTACATTGGCTACAGAAGTAGAACTGGCAAGCAGGGGGGAATACCCTTTTTAAAAATTACTCCTAGTAGAAAAACAGATTCTTCAGATCATTTATGAATGAAGTTAGAATCTCTCTAAAAATATTTCTTGGAGATACAGACTGTTTGCAAGATTTAAATTTTGGCACTGGTGTGATATGAAATTAAACACATTTACTGCAGATGAATTTTACTGGCATGGCCAATGGCAAAAGGAAGACTCATGTATAAAGACTGAATTTTCCATCCCAGCCCCATCACTTGACTTACATCTCCCTCCAGGCCAAGCCTATCTTAGGGTACTGTTTCCAATTGGAGGCTGTGGCAGACCTCAGACAGTGGCACTCTGATTACAGGGTTCCTGGAGGGGTGCTACCTCACATTGCTCTGTAAGTAACCATTTTTCCTCTTTGACTATGACCTCCATCCCCTTTATTCCCCATGAGCAGCATGGAGTTTCATGGTCAGCCCTGTGCTCTAGCCACTTTCTTTCACTTGCTCTTTCCAGAGTATGGCTGACATTTTGTGGTTGCTAATTCAGGGTACCCTGTTTGTTTTGTTTTTTGAATGGCAGGTATGGAAAATCCAACAAGTAAAAAGAGTTTGAGTACTACTCTGTGAGTTTTCTCCTTCATTTACTCTTGCCCTACCATTACCAACATTCTTCCACTAGGTGTCTCTGATAGAGGTGAACATATGTAGGACATTATCATCCACTGACAGATTAGGGCAAGGGAATTCTAAGTCCACACCACTCCTTCTCAGAGAAGCCTGACCAAACCCAGCCATACTCACGCAGAGATAGTCTTTTCTCGAGGTTCTGGAGGAAGTCCTACTGTCAAATGTTTCTGGTGGGAGAGAAGGTCTGTGCAGGCCTAACAAGAGATAGCATAATATTATCGTTTCTGTAACACCTCAGGTTTCCACAAACATTTCTCTTTTCAGCTGAAAAACCTTTGCTCCTCTTTAACATAATGACACACTGAACTCTCTTCCTCAGAAAATACCATGAAGATCAGAAAAGAAGGATTTCTAGGAAGAAACAATGAGGTCTTTTCATCTATCTCCTAGAAAGTAGGAACTTTTTTGTTTGGTTGGTTTATGGGGTTTTTTTCTTTCTTTTTAAAAAATTTGTTTAAATTTTTAAGTTTTCAATTTTTATGGATAAATAAGAGTTATACATATTTATGGAGTACATGTGATATTTTCATACAAGCATACAACATGTAATGATCAAACCTGGGTAATTGAGACATCCATCACCTCAATATTTATCATTTCTTTGTGTTGGCAAGATTCCAAATCTGCTCTTCTAGTTACTTTGAGATTTACAACAAATTATTGTAAACTATAGTCACCCTATTGTGACACCAAATACTAGATCTTATTCCTTCAATCTAGTTGTATTTTCATGCCCATTAACTAAACTTTCTCTATCCCCCACTCCCGACTACCCTTCCCAGCTTCTAGTATCCATCATTCTACTCTCTACCTCTATGAGATCAACTTTTTAAGCTCGCACATATGAGTGAGAACATGTGGTATTTGTCTTTCTGTGCCTGGGTTATTTCACCTAACATAGTGCCCTCCAGTTCCATTCATGTTACTGTAAATGACAGGGTTTTACTATTTTTGATGCAGAATAATATCCAATTGTGTATATATACCACATTTTCTTTATCTGCTCATCTTCTGATGGACATTTAGGTTTATTCCATACCTTTGCTATTGGGAATAGTGCTACAATAAACATGGGAGTTGTAGATATCTCTCCCATATACTGATTTCCTTTCTTTTTGATATATACCCAGCAGTTGGACTGCTGGATCCCATGGTAGTTCTACTTTTAGTTTTTTGATGAACCTCCATAGTGTTTTACATAAGTAGCTATACTAAGTTCCATTCCCACTAATGGTGTATGGATGTTTCCCTTTCTAGGAGGTAGGAACCTAGTGTAAATTCATTCTTAAGATATAGAATTCTTAATATCATTATAAAGATGTTATGGTTTATAACATTTTATAAATCTACAATTCTTACTTGTCATTCACAAACTAAAAGAACTGAATATCAAATTTTATGTGGAAAAGACATCTCAAATGGTTAGAGGCTATGGTTGTTTTAAAAAACAATTATAGAAACCAATTTTTAAAAAGCACGCTTATTTAGATTTGGTATAAATTCAAGAATTTATAGTACCTCATCAAGTGCTTCCACTTTCTTCCTTAAGATCCCAGAAATGTATCGGATCAGGCCCCAGTGACGAATTTCTCCCACTTTGCCATACAGCTCGGTAAGAAGCTCTCTCACTGTAGCACTCCGTTCATTATACAATTCAGTGTTCCAGTCAGGTCCTCTAGAATTTTAACGACAGGACTACATCAGTTTTAAGTAAAGCTTCTGGCAATCATCTTTTCTTTCAGTGTTATAATGAACATGCCTGTTTTTGATAGGTCTCTCTCACTAGGAAATCAATGTAATTTACTAAGAATCCTTATAAAACTATGATTAACAGTCAGCTCTGAAAGCCAGTACCTACACAAGAATAAGTCTTAGTTTTAGCTGTGCTTTTGACAAAATGCATTCTTTTACCCTATTCATGGGCTTCAATATAGTTGAAATTAAAGACAAAGATTTAACAAATGAATTATTTCAAAAATCACTGTAAGGAAAGTCATATGACAAATTACCAACTAGGAAAAAATGTTTGCAATTCATAGGATAATTTCCCTTATATATAAAGAACTCCAACATGTAGATTTAAAAAATTAAAAACAAAAGAAAATCTGGCAAAACAAATACTGCTGGCAAAACAAATACTGCTGGCAAAACAAATAGATGGCTTTTAAAGATAGGAAAAGGTGCTCAACCTCACTCCTAGAAAAACTTTAACTTAGCACTATACCAAGATAACATTTTTAACCTATCAGATTGTCAAAAGTCCCTAAAGTTGATAACACTATTTTGGTGAGGCTTTGAGAAAACAGGCACCATCAATATGCTGCTGATCGGAATAAAAATTGGACAATTCCTTTGGAGAGCTATTTGGAAATATATATCAGTATTGAAAATATTTAAAAACAGCCTGGCAATTCCTAACATGGTTAAATGCAGAATTACCATATAATCCAGCATTTCCACTACTAGTTATACAGTCAATAGAAATAAAAACATATGTCCACATTAACTTGTACATGAATGTTTATACCAGCATTATTCATAATAGCCAAAAAGTAGAAAGAACCCAAATGTCCATCATCTGATGAATGGATAAATAAGATGTGTTATATTTATACAGGATATAATATCTGGCAATAAAAGAATGAAGTACTGATACATGTTACAACACGGATGAATCTTGAAAATATCATGTTAAATGAAAGAAGCCTGTCATAAAGGACCACATATTGCAAGACTCAATTTATATAAAATGTCCCAAGCAAACAAATCTATACAGACAGAATGTAGATTAGTGGCTGCCTAGGGCTGGGGGAATGGAGGGATTGGGGGTTGATGGATAAAGGAAGTGGGGCTTCTTTTTGGGGTAATGCAAATGTTCTAAAATGAGTAGTGGTGAAGAATGCACAACAATGTGAATACATTCAAAGCCATTTAATTGTACAGTTAAAAAATACCTATTTTTTGATCTATCAATTCGAGTTCTGGTTTACTTGCATGATAAATTTCACACACGTGAAATGCTGTATGCTATGAGGGTACTTGCCATAGCATTTTTGTGATTGTGAATTCTGGCAACAATTCAAATGTTCATCAATAAGAGGCTGGCTAAGTAAATTATGATATATTCAAATAATGGAATGACACAATTATTCAGAAAATATGAAGTAGATCTAGATTGTGGTAATATATTTTCAACAATAGCTGCAACAATTTCCTATCCAACCTACTCTTCTTACAATGTGACTCTCGCACTCCTCCCATGAAGAGATGAGTTCTGTGTTCCCTTCCCTTGAACCCAGGCATGCTTGTGATTAAGGCAAAAGTGACTTACCTAATTTCTGAGGCTAGGCTATACAAAGTAATAGAGCTCCCAGCTGGGACACTTACTAGTAGAACCTAGTCATCATGCTGTGAAGATGTGGAGAGACACATGAGGAGGTCATCTGTGGGTGTACCAGCTGTAGGTAACCTCAGCTGAGGTTCTAGCCAACAGCCAGTATCAACCCCTAGACATATGAGTGGGCAAGCATTGTGAAGATTCCAGCCCCAGAAATTGTTGACCAAAACTAAATGAGAGACCTCAGGTGAGAACTGCCTGGCTGAACACAGGCAAGTCCCAGAACTGTGAAAGATAATTTAAAAATTTTTAAATTTTTGTTATTTTAAGCTACTGAGTTTCAGAGTGATTTGTTATGAAGCAATAGATAATTGGAATATATATGTAGTTATCATCAAGATATATAGTTTTAGTGAAAGAAAGCAAGGTAGAGCTGTGTGTATACTATGCTACCTTTTGGATAAATAGGGGTAAAATTATCCCCATATATGTCTGTGTTTACCTACATATCCATAAATGTCCATGGGAGGATACACACACACACACACACACACACACACACAACACTGACTGCCCATGAGAAGGGGAACAGGGTATCTGGGGGAACAGAGATGGGAGAAAGACATTTTACCCTCTCACTGTATATTCTTTTGTACTTAAAAATTTTTGAACCATAGGAATATATCTATTCAATATATTAAATTAAAAAACATGAAATAAAATGTGCTATAGGAAGAGTCATTAATGGATGAAAAATATCAGTGAGCAAAAGTTTGAAGAGTAACCGTATATTTACGTAGTCTCAAAGTACATCTCTACAGGATACTTTTTTAATTACAAAAGATGACATAATAACTTTACAGTGTAGGTACATGGAAGAATCTACCTTAACCAAATGATCCAACCAAGCGATCAAAGTTTACAGTATCAGCAATGGGACTAATCAACACTATGATATGACACATGGAAAAGAACTTGGCATTACCTTAGTAATGTATAATCTGAATTTAATCATGACAAAACAACACATAAACTGAAATTGAGGGATATTCTGCAAAATAACTGGTTTGTATTCCTCACAAATGTTAACAACATGAAAAATGAAGACTCAGGAACTGTTCCAGATAAATGGAGACTCAAGACACCTGAGAACTCAATAAAATTCATGATTTTAGATGTTCTTTTCTATAAAGACACTATTGGGCTATATGACAAATCTTAATAGTATCTGTAGATAGTTAATAGTATTGGTTTAATGTTAAACAATTCCTTGACTTTGGCAATTATACTGTGCTTATGTAGGAGAGTTCATAATTTTTCAGAAATAAACACTGAATTATTTAGGGTTAGATGGGGATCGTGTCTGCCACTTACTCTCAAATGGTTCAGAAAAAAATAATATGCGTGTGTGATTGAGTATAGATGATGACATCAACGTGAAAGAGAGAGAGAGAGAGATTAAAAGCTCAGTGGAAACATCTGATGGATCTGAAGGAGGGCTATCCAGAATTTTTATTGTACTATCCTCACAACTTTTCTCCAAGTCTGACACTGTCAAATTTTAAAGATATGAAAAAAGTGCTATGAGATCTCAGAATCAGTGGAAGATTATTTTTACTATTACAGATTGGAGGAAGTTTCATGTGGGTGACAGATGACCTAGGCCTTGACAGAGAGAAATGCAAGAAGTAGAAATGGAGTGTGGTAAAGGAGAATATTCTAGGCAGAAGAAAAAATAAGAATCAAGGTATGAAGGTAGGCATGTAGAGGCTGTGCTTTGGGTATGATAAATAGACTGTTTTGGTGACAGCATTCACATTGTAAGGGAAGAGCAATGGTAAATAAAAGTTGAAAGTCAAATCATAGAGGATTTAGATTTGGCCAATGATTCCCTGTGGTAGTGTTGATGCTGTAGCGAGAGGCAGGGGATGGGGAGGAATTGAAGACAATGACACAATTTCAAGTCTGGGTTACTTGAAGGAATGATGATACCCAGAATAGAGTCAGGAAAGACAACAGCAGTAGGTTTGTAGTAAAGACAGTGAATTTGACTTTAGACATGTTCAATAGGAAGATATATATTTGAAAATAAATTCTACTCCAAATAAGACTATGTCACAACCTATTATAATAAAAATGTCAAAGATCAAAGACAAAGAGAGAATTCTGAAAGCAGTGAGAAAAAAGAAGCAAATAACATATAAGGGAATCTTAATAAGCCTAACGGCAGACTTCTCAGCAGAACCCTTATAGGCCAGGAGATAGTGAGATGAGGTATTCAACGTGCTGAAGGGAAAAAACTGCCAGCCAAGAATACTTCAGAAATGAAGAAGACATAGACTTTTCCAGACAAACAAAAGCTGAGGAAATATATAACCATCAGACCTGTTTTACAAGAAATGCTAAAGGGAGTTCTTCAAGATGAAAGAAAAAGACATTAATGAATAATATGAAAACATCTGAAGATATATGTCACTGAGTACACAGTCATATGAATACTCTATTAATCTAACGATGGTGTGTAAATTACTTACATCTTTAGTATGAAGGTTAAAAGACAAAACCATTAAAAATAGTAACTACAATAATTTGTTAGGGGATATGCAATATAAAAATTTTAAATTGTGACATCAAAAACTCAAAATGTTGGGAGGTTGAGTTAAAGAGATTTTTCTTCTCTTTTACTGTAATCATAGTTAAATTGTTAAGATTTTTTGTAAGCCTCATGGTAACCACAATGCAAAAACATATAATAGATATGCTAAAAATAAAAAGCAAAAAATCAAAACATATTATGAAGGAAAATCACTTAGCCATAAAGACAGATAGTAAGAGAGAAATAAAAAAGGAAGGAAGGAAGGAAAGAAGGAGGGGGGAAGGAAGGAAGGAAGGAAAGAAGGAGGGGGGGAAGGAAGGAAGGAAGGAAGGAAGGAAGGAAGGAAGGAAGGATTGATTCTACAAAACAACTGGAAAACAATTAATTAAATGGCAGTAGTAAGCCCTTACCTACCAATAATTACCTTTAATGTGAGTTGATTAAATTATCCCATTAAAAAGCAGAGTAGCTTAATGAATAAAAAAAGCCAAGAGCCAACTATATGCTGCTTAAAAGAGATTCACTCCACCTGTGAGGACATACATGGACTAAAAGTGAGCGGATGGAAAAAAGATATTCCATGCAAATGGAAAGCAAAAGACAACAGACGTAACTCTACTTGGATAAAACAGACTTTCAGGGCCAGGTGCTGTGGCTCACACCTGGAACTCCCAGCACTCTGGGAGGCTGAGGCAGAAGGATGGCTTGAGCCCAATAGTTTGAGACCAGCCTGGGCAACATGGCCAGACCCCAGCTCTGCAAAAAAAAATTAAAAATCAGCTGGCCATGGTGGCATGCACCTGTGGTCCCAGCTACTCAGGAAACTGAAGTTGGAGGGTCACTTGAGCCCAGGAGTTTGAGACTACAGTGAGCCATGTTCATGGCACTACACTCCAGCCTGGCTGACAGAGCAAGACTGTCTTAAAAAAATAGACTTTAAGTAAAACACTAAAAAGTGATATAGAAGGTCACCATATAATGATAAGGGGGATCAGTTAAGCAAGAGGATTCAACTATTGTAAATGTATATGCACCCAACATTGGAGCACCTAAGTATATAAAGCAAATATTAACATACCTAAAGGAAGAGATAGACTACAATACAATAATAGTACGGGCCTTCAACAGCCCATTTTCAGTAATGGACAGATCACATAGACAGAAAATCAACAAACAAACATTGGATTTAAACTGCACACTAGACCAAATGGACCTAATTGATATTTACAGAACATTCCATCCAAAAGCTACAGAATACACATTATTCTCAACTTTACATGGAACATTCTGCAGGGTAGATTATATACTAGGCTACAAACAAGTATTAATGAATTGAAGAAGATCAAAATCATATCAAGTATCTTTTCTGATCACAATGATATAAAACTAGAAATCAATAACAGGAGAAACCACAGAAACTTTACAAATACAAGGAAATTAAACATGCTCCTAAACAACCAAGGGGTCACTGAACAAATTAAGAAGGAAATTACAAAAATTTCTTTTGGCAAATGAAAAGGAAATGCAACATACCAAAAGATATGGGATACAGAAAATGCTATTCTAAGAGAGATGTTTATAGCAATGAATGCATATATCAAAAAGTATAAAGGTCTAAAATAAACAACATAATGTTACACCTAAAGTAACTAGAAAAACAAGAACAAACTAAACCCAAAATTAGTAAAAGGAAGAAACAATAAACATCAGAGTGGAAATAAATAAAACAGAGACTAAAAAAGCAATACAAATGATTAACAAAATGAGAAGTTGGTTTTTTTGAAAAGATAAACAAAAATCAACAAAGATTTGGCTAGACAAAGAAAAAAAGAAAGAATACCCAAATAAATAAAATGAGAGATGAAAAGGAGATATATAGCCTGGGTAACATAGTAAGACCTCATTTCTATAAATAATTAAAAAAACATTTAGCCGGACATGGTGGCACGCACCTGTGGTACCAGCTACTCAGGAGGCTGAGGTGGGAGGATCACTTGAGACTGGGCAGTGAAGGCTGCAGTGAGCCATGATGATGCCACTGCACTCCAGCCTGGGCAACAGAGCGAGACCTCACTTCAAAATCAAAAAAAGAAGATGAGATATAACTGATACCACAGAAATTAAAAGAATTGTTAGAAACTGTTATGAACAATTATATGCCAACAAGTAGGAAACCCTAGAAGAAACGGATAAATTTGTGAACACATACAATCTACCAAGATTGAAGTATGAAGAAACAGAAAATCTGAATAGATCAATAACAAAGGAGATTGAATCAGTAATAAAAAGTCTCCCATCAAAGGGAAGCCCAGGACCAGATGGTTTCACTGCTGAATTGTACCAAATATTTAGAGAACTAATACTAATTCTTTTCAAACTATTCCAAAAAATAAAAAAAATAAAAAAAAAAAAGGAAAAGGGGAGAGTTCTTCCGAACTCATTTTATGAGGCCAGCATTACCCTGATACCAAAACCAAACAAGGACACAACAAAAAAAGAAAACTAGAAGCCAGTGAGAATGCTCATCCTGTAATGATTATAAAACCCCCAATTTAGTCTCCTTTCCCTGGGCTCTCAAGCCTTTTTGGGAGCAAGCTGGGAACCTTCTTTGCTCTTCCTAGAAAGCCTTATTATGTGAGTAATAAATATTCCACACCTTCTTGGTATGTGTATGTCACCATCTATCTCAACATCCAAACCAAATTTAGGGGAAGAAAGTCCATCCTGCCTCTTCATGGTGACTACAACATGGAAAAGGAGGGAGAACAGATTATTTTTGTGTAAGCTTGTGGGGTTTAGGAGAGAGGAGTTCAATTTGGACATATTGAGTTTGTACTAATACAAAGTACCTAGCAGGATGCCTGACACATAGCAAACAAAAATGTTAGTTTCTTTCTCCTATAAACCTCTATATTCTTACTTTTCTTGAGTTAAAAACTTATCTGTACATTTGACCAAATAATGGAGGCTTAAAAATAACCTAATGACAGTAATATTTATCAGTTATTGATCACCCACCATGTGCCAGGCATTGTATTAGAGACTTCATGGATATTATATCTTAATCTTTACAATAACTCTATGAGGTATATATAATCCAAATTCTATAAATGAGGACAACTGAGGGTTTGAAGTCACATGATGGATAGGTTGTTAAACTATATTCAATTCCAGATCAGCGAAACTCCAAAAGCTGTGCTCTATTTATTATGCTATAATTCCTCTGATTATGAACATTAAACTAGATTGATAATATCCACCACTTACTTCATAGTATACAGCATATAGAGGATATCAGCTTGTTCCTGTAAGCTTGAGGTCTCCTTCAACTGTAAAACCAGTGCTTTAAAGTCCACCTCCCCAGACTGGTCTCTAGGAAGATGTATTTCTACACGAACAGAGGGAACCTTTAGTTTGAGAAATGATGACAAGAAATTAAGTTCACAAGTGCTCAACTTAAATAATGTCCTAGAATGAGTCATATTTTCACCTCTAAACCTTTTCCAAGGAATTCTTTAAATACTAATGAAAGGCAAAGCAAAAGTAATGAAACCTTCCAGATGTATAATACAGCAATCTAGTTTTCCCAAAGTCTGACCAGACAAACTTGCCCAATGTAAAAGTGAACTGAAAAGAACATGTATCTTCACCAGAATAGCATTTTGCGTACCACTAGTTAGTAACAAGAACCATAATGACTAGTCCTATTATTTCCCATAAAGATGGCAGTTTTTCAAAAAGCTAATAGAAATACCTCCTGCACAAATTTACCTGGTTCTCCTGTCGGGGATGAGGTGAATCAAGTAAGTTGAATGAAGGCCGGGAAGCCTGAAATAACTTCGTAGGAAGATACATGTGAACATCTGCAAAAATATGACATTTATGGGAAATATTAGGTAATTAGGAGACTAATAGAAATGCACAGTTGACTTCAACAATTAAGTCACATGTGAGTCAGTTCTTCATAGAACAAGAATGACAAATTTCTCCTTTCTTGGTAATATCAAAGAAAATAAATATGAATATAAGATAATTTAAATAATGTGCAATTAATAAGTATATTTTGAATTGAATTTCTAGAATTATAGCACTAGCTGGACATGTAAGATATTAAATTTACTAATGTGATTAATCCACGATGGTGCGTTCACTGATACTTTGATGGAATACGACATATAATAGAAAGAACTCAGTTGCATTTTCTATTTTCCGAACTTTTCTAGGTGAATATCTGGCTGCTAGTGGTTAAATTTCCCTAAGAATAAGTGAATGGATGATCCTATCTAGGGAATAAGAAAAATGTAGTTGCTGACCAACTTTGAGATATTCCTAAGATTTTTTACTTACAGTTCATTGTTGAAATACTTACCATCACTTCTAAGGAAAGATTTGTAATTTTCACCACTTTACAGATACAGAAAGAGAGATACAGAGCTCAAATAACTGTTCAAGCAAGTAAGTAGCAGAGCTGGGAATTAAGCCCAAGTTTTCTGGTTCACAATTGAGAAGTATAACAATAAATTTCATCTCTTCATATAAGCCCTTTCTCGAGGAAGCATACTCAGAGGGTATGCTGAGCTTTTCCCTATTATAAATGTTAAATGATTCCCAATGTTCATGTTTAATGTATTTGGTTAGTAATGGTCAATAAAGTTTTAGACAGCAAGAGCATGCATCTCAGTCATTCTCCTCATCTGTAAAATGTTAACATTCAGGTCTTCTAGGTGTGGCCAAGGAGCCCTTCTCTCCTTTCATATCCAGCTACTATAAAGACATTGAACACTCTTAGGAACTATGACTACTCCTGGCAATGTGTGGCAGAAGACACCCTCCACTGTGAATACAACTGAAGGAGGGTAGTGGCCATGGGGAGAAGAATGGCAAAGTTGTAAAGAATGAGTATTATATTTGACAAAACAGCTCTACATTGCTGGAACAACAAGAAAATTCCATAGAAGTAATTTTCCCAAAGGAAAAACCCTTTCTACCATTTCAAACTTTAATGTTATAGTTGAATATGCTCCATGTCTCTTGTTCTGCCTCTTCTTACCATGTTACCAGTTAAACCAGACTACATAGCACTACCTGCAGCATAACTATACACAATTCACTCATTTTACAAATATTTGAGTGTCTAATATGTTCTAGGTGCTGTCTGAGATGCGGGGGATAAAGCAGTGAAGAAAACTAAAGTTCCTGCTTACATTGTAATCAATGCCCGCCCCTATCCTGGGCTTCACGTCATCCTGTGCCTGACTCTGGTGAGTCACGGCATTACTCACTCTGTACATGCAGTTCCTTGGCCTTGGTCACCAAGGACATTAAGTCGCAGGTTGTTTGCACAGCAGCTTGGAACCGATCTAGCCCTCCCTTCTGTGAGGTAGGGGCTAGTTTAGGATGGGGAGCAGTGTGCGCCAAAAGGTGATCTAAATAACGAGCAACTTCATCACCACAGCGAGCTGCAAGGTTAGTGGGGGGAGGGGGAAGAGAAAAGAATGAAAATATTTTAGTTACTTTACAATCTACCCCAGCAAAGAGAATGATTGGCTCCTGTGCTCACAACACAGCACCAGAAGTAGGTTGTTTTTAGCTCATGGAGGAAAAGCTTGTGATCATGATATAACCTCATCACTTTAAGATCCAGTGACCATGGCCATTTACTAGGATCCACCTCCTCTTCAACTTGCTGAGACAAGGTCAGGGTTCTTGAAAGCAGTATGAGCTTGTTTTACATTGGAGCAAGCATTTAGCAATCTGTGTATTTGTGTGTGTGCATGTGATAGTAATGGTGGCAGGGATGGAGGAGGAACAGAACAGGGAGCTTCAGGTCACACTAATGTGAGGGGACTTTGGTGAGGAAGGGCCAGGAAAGGGCAAAAATCTTCTTAGTCACCTCGTTTGTTTACTCAGCAAATATTTGTTGGCTGCTATGTACCAGGCAGTGTACTAGGTGCTGACATTTCAGTGGTGAAGAGGATGGATATGGTCCCTATCTTCTTGGGCTCCCCTTCTCCCATATACCTTCTATAACATTATCTCTGAGTATGGGTAATGGAAAGAAAAACATACATATATCCTGTGGAAGCTTAATATTTCAGACTTTACATGAATATTCACAAGGTTTATAGTTAGAAAAACACACTATTCAGATCGATACCAAAGTCTGCTGTATCAGTCATGAGTCTTCTGGTTTTTGATGATATTTACTGATCTCTCCAGATGTCTTTCTGTGCTCTGATGTGACTAATGCGAACTAGTAGAGCTGTAAGAATGGAGCTCATATTCAGTGACATCCTAATGACAAAGATTGTAACCTTGAATACAATCTAGAGACTTGAGTGGAGGATTATGAAGAATATGGAGAGAAGCTCTTTACCCACAGAAGGGCTGGCAAGCAATAAATACATTCATTTTGAGAACACTGATGAGTAAACCCGGAACTAGGAAAGTGACTCAGAATGCCATAATGTCAAATTCAGTAACACGTATCATTAGAAATATATATTTTAGTAATCCAATGGAATGAGTACTACAGATAAAAATCACAACTACCCATAGAAGAGCAAACAATCTCAATATATGATCTTCTCATTTAATTTTCAAAGTATTTTATGCCAAGACATCATGACTTTTGTTATTACTGATAACAGTAAATAGCCTTGTATTTAATGTACTTTTCCAACAAAGAAATTCAACTGTTTTAGATCTTACAAAAACAAACACAGAATGAATGAAGTGGTGCTTAGTGAGTAAATGTCGGGCCCAAAAAAGAAAATAGTCCTTCTGACTGCTAATGTGTTGTCCTATTGTATGAGATTGTGCTGGCTGACCTCACTGAGGGCAGCAAATTTATTTTTTTCTTTTCTCCAACATACCACTCTTAAGATAAAGAAATTGGCTGCCTTAAGATACAGGCTAACAGTCAAATACCCAGACAATGAAAGCAGGCAAATCATATTTTAGAGGGCTAGACAAATAATTCTTTCTTATTGGCCCTTCTCTGTATGAAATTCAAGCAACATAATGCCTGCTCTGCCTAAGTCAGTATTTTAACACTGTAGGGTAGTGTTGCTCAGTCACTTTCAATGCATGCCCCTGCAATGCTTTCTCACTATATCACCTTTGTATTGCTAGAAGCCAATTAGAGTTTGACTTAGTTGTATTTGCCTAGTTTGTACTATGAAAATAACAGACATACTGAATAGGCTTTTTCAAACTACACAGACCTCCCCAGAGATTCCGATATGCTCCTCTAATATTATATGAAAAGGACTCTAATTAAATTTCATATTTTTATGCTTTTTAATGTCAAAAAGCAGTACTGTATATGTATTATTTTCCTACTTCATACTTGATTAATCATCTCTCACTCACCACTGCTTCTTCCCATGTCAAAATCACCAGCCACTTCAAATGCCTGGGAGAGGAATCTTCCCCAATCTTAGTAAGGGACTGTCCAACTCCATACTCCACAATTACCGCAGGAATATTAGACCAGAAACCAAAGGTAAGTAGAGGGAGGAAAAGTAAAGCCAAACAAAAGTAGAGATCTAGAGTGAGGATAGAACACTGTGAGACTGCTGGCAGCATAAATTATTAAGGATGGTGCTAAACAATATTTTGTAGTTTTGTCCAGCCAGGCCAGTGCTTTATGAAGCCTCCTTACCATGACTGGTTGAATCATAATCATTCATCCAGTTGCCAGATTCCAGGTAATCATAGTTGTCATCATAATCTTCACTGTACAGCTTACCCTCAGGTCCAGGGTCCATGAAGCTCAAGTGTGTGCAACAAGATGTTGTCAAAAACTCTGACAATTTACCTGTTTGAACCCTAAAAATTAGAGGAGGATAGAAAACAGAAAATCAGGGGTGATCCTTTTTAAACAACACAATCTTAGTGATAAAAGGACACCTAACATGTTTTGTTGGGGGATTACTAATGTGCATACATTAATATAAATTTTATAAAAATAAAATTTTACAGCACTCCTAGGCATGGTGTACATCTTAAATGGTTAGGGGACTGTATTAATAAAGGTTACAATTATGGATTAACAATCCACCAGCAGACCAGTTTTGCTCTCTTCTACTGCCATATATTACGTTGCTAACTATGCCAAACATCTGGTAAAAATTTGCATTGGCTACTGGAGAAGCCTGGAGAGAATGAAGATAAATCATCACAAACCCATCACTTCATTAAAAAAATACCCAAAGGTCATTTGAACATAAAGGATGGTACTTGACAATTCTGTAAATTATAGTAGACTGTAAGCCATATCGTCTCCTACTTATGAAGACAATTACAAAACCCAAAAGCAAAGTCAGCATTACCAAATTTCTAAAGAGGCCAACTTGAAGGGGCTATCAATGGCCACACCTTGGATAATTAAAATATTGAAATAATAACAGAAATGGATCATGGCATATTGAATAAAATAATAATCTATGAATCTGTGCTGATACTAAACTACAAAATAAAAGGGGGGAAGGGAAAGCTCTTTTTTTTAACATAAGAATTTCAACCAATAAATGTACACAGAATGATAGAAACACCATTTAATAACTCCAATAGTAATAAGTGAATTCACGCAAGGATCAACGGAAGCTAATACGATTTGATCAAAGACTGTTGGAGAAAGGATATGCAGAAACCTGGCAGATACCAGGTTGAACACTTTAACCAAGTGATCAAGGTTATCATCACCCAATAATGTCACAAACAAATCTCATGTGCCTCTGATATGATGCACTGAAAGAGACTGTAGTAAATTCTTATAATTGTATGTTTCCCTGGCATCTCTTTTGAATATAAGCTTAACTTTCTCATACCAGAAGCAGAGTTCAGGAATCTTTGACAGTTTCCAGTTCTACACCTCCCTCAGTTCCTCACTGTGGTCAGTCCACATATCTGCCTTATACAACTTCCTCCTGGTAACCACCTCCCTAAGGGACAGCTAAATATGATCTATTTGACTAGCCTCACTGATCCTCACATCCTACATGAACTATGCCAATATGCCACAGTGACCACCTCTCAGTCACAGTGTGACCTCCAGGAAGTCATGCCTACTTGCTTTAAACCCACCAATTAAAACTCCCCAAGGAATATCTGTTTGGATAATGCCCTGGACCTCAATAAAGGCATTGGCCCATGGGTCTCTCTTTTTCTCTCTCCACATGCTCCCTGACCTCAGTGTGTGTGGCCTCCAGGTATTCTGTGTACCTCACCTGCAGGACCTGTAAGTAATAAAATCTTTATTTCCATCTTGTGCCTCTCCTAACCATTGAAGGGGTGCTCTCCATCTTAAAGATCCTAACTTAAAACAAGGACCCAACATCACACAGGTAGTATTCCTGCCAAAAACATGTAGCCTGAATCTAATAATGAGAAACAACCAGCCAAATCCAAATTGTGAGATGTTCTGCAAAATAACTGACCTGCATTCTTCAAAAATGTAATGAAAACTCTCATGAAAGATTGACAAAAGGCTGGAGAACTCTTCTAGATTAAAAGATACCAAAGAGATATAACAACTAACTGCTAACATGTGATCTTTGATTGGATCCTGGATTGGTGGGAAAACAGCTATGATAAAACATTATTGGGATAATTGGGTAACTGTTCTTATTTCTCCTTCTACTTTATTTATTTATTTATTTCCAACTTTAATTTTAGGCTCAGGGGTACATGTGCAGATTTGTTACATGGGTAAACTGCATGTCACAGGGGTTTGGTGTACAAACTATTTCATCACCCATAGTAAGCACAGTATCCAATAGGTAGTTTGCAATCCTCACCTACCTCTCGCCCTCCATCCTCAAGAAGGTCCTGGTGTCTATTGTTTCCTTTTTTGTGTCCATGTCTACTCAATGTTTAGTTCCCACTTATAAGAGAGAACATGTGGTATGTGGTATTTGGTTTTCTGTTCCTGTGTTAATTTGCTTAGGATAATGGCCTCTATATGAATTCATGTTGCTGCAAAGGACATGATTTTGTTCTTTTTTATGGCACTGTAGTATTCCATGGTGCATTATATACCACATTTCCTTTAACAAGTCCACCATAGGTGGGCATCTAGGTTGATGCCCATCTTTATCTTTGCTATTGTGTCTAGTGCTGTGATGAACATATGCATGTGTCTCTATGGTATAATGATTTATATTCTTTTGGATATATATCCAGTAATGGGATTGCAGGGTAGAATGGTAGTTCTATTTTAAGTTGTTTGAGAAATCTCCAAACTGCTTTCCACAGTCTCCCAGGCTGGAGTGCAGTGGCACAATCCTGGCTCACTGCAACTTCCGCCTCCCAGGTTCAAGAGATTCTCATGTCTCAGCCTCCCAAGTAGCTAGGATTACAGGTATGCACCAACACGCCTGGCTAATTTTTGTATTTTTTGTAGAGAGAGGTTTTTGCCATGTTGGCCAGGCTGGTCTTGAACTCCTGGCTTCAAGTGATCTGCCCCCCTTGGCCTCCCAAACTAAGTGTGATGATTATATTATAGTTATATGTAAGAATGCACTTGTTCCTAGACAAAACAAAGAAAACTTAAGTATTTAGGGTTGAAGAGTTATGATGTCTATGGCTAATTATTTTAGCAAAAAAGCATGTGTGTACATGTGTGTATATATATGTATATATATATAAAACACATAGTATATGTAGTATGTACGTGTGTGTGTGTATATGCATATGTATGTGTATGGGAGGATGTAGGGAGGAAGAGAGAAAGGAAGGGGGGAAAGGCAGGAAGGGAGGGAAGGGAAGAAATAGAGAATGCACAGTGGGACAAAATGTTAATAACAGGTGAATCTTGAGAAAGGGTATATGGGTGTTCAGTAGTATTCTTGCAAATTTCTGTAAGCTGGAAATTTTTCAAAATAAAAACTTAAGTGGAAAAAGAAAAGAAAAGCAGCTGGAATCAAATAATCCAGTAGGCATTAAAAAAACAAAACAAAACAGGTTTTCTGATCCTTTGAGATCTAGGCAAAGAACAGGGTAGGAAAAACTTCCAACCTTCCTCTACAACATTAAATTCCTTGATTCAATCTATCAAACTCCTCTAAGTAGGATGGGATTATGTTATCGAAGATACAGTTAGCCCCCGCTTACTCCTGCAGGATATGTTCCAAGACCCCCTTGTGGATTCCTGAAACTGCAGATAGTACTGAACCTTATATATATACTGTGTTTTTTCTTATACATACATACCTATGATATAGTTTAATTTATAAATTAAGCATAGTAAGAGCTCAAAATAATAATGAAATAGAACAATTATAACAATATACTATAATAAAAGTTATGTGAACGTAGTCTCTCTCTCTGTCTCAAAATATCTTATTGTACTGTACTCACCTATTTGCAGACTACAGGTTGACCACGGGTAACTGAAATATCGGAGTCAAATTGTAGATAAGGGGGGACTATCATACACAGAAAGGCATCACAGGTATGCCACTACTATATCCAGCCCCTTAATTTCATTTCATTTCACTAAAGAGTGTATAGAGGTCACTTACCTTGCCCCACCAAAATACCCATCTTGCATTTTTCGGAGTGCTGCCAGGATACTTGAATTCAAGCTTGTTCCATCTTCATCTTGAAATGAACAGAATTTTAAAACAATCTTTGTGGTTTTAACTCTGAAGTAGGGAGAAATCTTGTAATTATTTCAAATCAACATTCTGGTGGTTACAATACAAATGAGACACTCCTCATTGACCATCCTGATTTTAACAATTCATCTGAGAGCCAACAACACTTAAGAATGGGTAAATGGTAAGGGATGATGACTGATAGATTTCCTCAAAGGCATTATCTTATTTGTCAGCATTATCTTATTTGTCAGAAGTACTTAGCACAGTGTCTGATGGCAGAACACTGAATGACTACTGAATGCTGATAATACCAGTAGCCACTACTTGTTGAATGTTATGTGCCAAGCACTGTGCTAAACATTTTATACACATTATCTCATATAAAGAACCTTGGCACATATGTCTGTGTATAGGCATAAAAAATATCTAGAAAGCTAACAATTACCTGATTTTATGTGGAAGTAATCATACTACATATACTCTTTCATGATCTGCTTTCTAACTTTACCTTTGTAATAGCTAAAAATAATTCTTACTAAATTTAGACTGTTTTATATTATAATCAACACTGTAATGAAGACCATTGTACCTACATCTTGATGCACTTATTCTATTATATCCTTAGGTTAAATTCTTACAAGTAGAACTATTAGGACAAATGAAACACTTACTAAGTAAATTTACAGAGACTGCCAAATTACCCACTATAAGAGTTGTGCCAATTATATTTCCACCAACAGTATAGAAAGACTTTTTCCTACACTTTTTTTTTTTTTTTTTTTTTTTTGAGACAGAGTCTCGCTCTGTTACCTAGGCTGGGGTGCAATGGCTTGATCTCGGCTCACTGCAAGCTCCGCCTCCCGGGTTCACGCCATTCTCCGGCCTCAGCCTCCCGAGTAGCTGGGACTACAGGCGCCCGCCACCACGCCTGGCTAATTTTTTGTATTTTTTTTGTTTTTTTTAGTAGAGACGGGGTTTCACTGTGTTAGCCAGGATGGTCTCAATCTCCTGATTTCGTGATCCACCTGCCTCGGCCTCCCACAGTGCTGGGATTACAGGCGTGAGCCACCGCGCCAGGCCTTTCCTACACTTTTAACAACAATGGGCAATAATCTTTTAAATTTTTCTTAATCTGATAGGTAAAACAAGAAGATATTGTTTTAATTTTATTGCCAATAAGATTATGCATATTTTCATGTATTTACTAAAAATCTGTATTTCTTTTATGAATTGCCTGATCATGTCCTTTTCCCATTTTTCCATTAGGTAGTTTATCTTTTTTCAATTGACTTTCAAGAGTTTTTCGTGTTTTGTGGATATTACCCTTTTCGCTCTCATATGTATGACAAATACTTTATCTAGTTTATTATTTTTCTTTCAACCGCATCCACAGTGCTTTTGATATAAAAGATTTCATTTTCATGTTTCAAAATCTGACAATATTTTATTTTTGTGTCTTGCAAAGGACAGCTCTCTTCAACCTAAGATAACAAAAATATTCCCATATATATATATATATATATTCCCATATAAATATATATATATATATTTTTTTTTTTCAAATGGAGTCTGCCTCTGTCATGCAGGCTGGAGTGCAGTGGTGCAATCTCGGCTCACTGCAACCTCCGCCTCCCGGGTTCAAGTGATTCTCCTGCCTCAGCCTCCCAAGTAACTGGGACTACAGGCGCGTGCCACCACACCTGGCTGTATTTTTAGTAGAGATGGGGTTTCACCATGTTGGCCAGGCTGCTCTCAAACTCCTGACCTCAAGTATCCTCCCGCCTCAGCCTCCCAAAGTGCTGGGATTATAGGTTTGAGCCACCCTGCCCAACCTCCCATATTTTTTTCTAAGACTCTCACAGGTTTATTGTTTATGTTTAGCTCTTTAATCTATTTAGAATGTATTTTTGCAAAAAAAGTAAAGTAGCAAGCCTAAATGAATTATTTTCCCAAATGTATTTATATTAAATTTTGTCTCTATTTGAAATTCTATCTTCATCATTGTTTTAATTACAATGGATCTTTCACTTTCTTTTTAAAAATCTGGTTATTCATTTACATTTTCTCTTACATATGAAATCAAGGTTCAGCTTGTTCATAAAAATTTATGTTTTTATTATTATTGGGAATTGCCTGAATTGATATAATGAAAGTGGGTAATTTCTCAATATTAACTATTTATGTCTAGGAACATGGTGTACCTCTCTACTAATTAAAATATTTTATTGTCTTCAATAGTTTTATAGTTTTTCTCATACACTTTTATAAGTGTTCCTATTCAGCTTATACTTGTATTCTTACTTTTCTAGAAAATCTGTCAATTTTATCTAGATGTACAAAATTGTAGTTGGTATTCTTTTACAGTGTTTAAAGTCTCCTCTATTTCTGTTGCTATATCTCCTTTGTCTTTCCTAACACTTTTACTACCTGTTTTTTTCTTTACTCTGAGTTCTACTTTACCAGATATTAATGTAGCTACTTCTGCTTTTTAAAATTAATGTTTACATGGTATATCTTTTTCCTTCCTTTTCTTTTCAGTCTACGTATATTGTGATATTTGAACTGATGTATTTAGGCTATTTAAAGTAATTATTGATATGTTAGGATTAAGTTTGCCATTTTATTGTTTTCTATTTGTACCTCTGTTCTTCATTTGTCTATTTTCTTCTTCCTGCCTTCTTATGGGTTACTTTTACATTTTTTAGAATGCCATTTTGATTTACCTATACTGGGTTTGACTGTTATCTCCTTCTATAGGTTTCTTAGTGGTTACTCCAGGCATTGTCTTATATATACAAACATGATGCATATATCACTCTTTACTAGTGTCAACATTATACCAATTAAAGTGATGTATAGAATCTTATCTCCCATTAAGGTCCTTACTTTTCCCCATTTATAATATACTTGCCTTGAATATTTCTTCTACATACTTTGAGAACTATATTAAGCAATGCTTATCAAGCATAATTTAGAAAATTGAAGTGGAAGGAGTTCGGGACCAGCCTGGCCAACATGGCGAAACCCCGTCTCTACTAAAAAAAATACAAAAACTTAGCCGGGCATGGTGGTGCATGCCTGTAATCCCAGCTACTGGGGAGGCTGAGGTAGGAGAATCACTTGAACCCGGAAGCTGGAGATTGCAGTGAGCTGAGATTGTGCCATTGCACTCCAGGCTGGGTGACAGAGAGAGACTCTGAAAAAGAAAAAGAAAAAGAAAAAGAAAAAGAAAAAGAGCGGGGGTGGGGGAGAGAGAGAGAGAGAGAGAGAGAGAAAGAAAGGGAAAATTGAAGTGGAGAAAGTCTATTGTATTTACTCATATTTTCACTCCTATTTTTATTTTTTCTTTTTGATGTTTCAAGATTCCATCTATTATTATTTCCTTTCTGTTTCAAGAACTTTCTTCAAACCATTCTTTTAGGGCAGATCTCCTGCTGACAAATTCACTTAGCTTTCCTACATCTGAGAATGTCTTTTTTCCTTTTATTCTTGAAGTACACTGGATAGGGCAAAATTCTTGGTTTAAAATTCTTTTTTTTTTCAGTACTTAAAAAATGTTGTGTCACTTCCCTCTGGTGTCCATGGTTTCTGATGATAAATTTGCTGTCATTCTGTTTGTTGCTTATAGAAATGGTATTGTTTCTTTCTGGCCACTTTCAAGATATTTCTTCTTTAATGTTCAAGAACTTTATTATTATGTGTTTTGACATGGATTTTACCATGTTTAAGATTTTCTCATTTTTTAAAAAATTTGTAGGTTTATGTCTTTTACCAATTTTTCAGTCATTATTAGTTGGAATGCTTTTTCTGATTTTCTCTCATACTTTTTCTCCTCTTTCTGAAACTTTTATAACATGAATGTTAGATCTTTTTAACGTGAATGTTAAAAAATGTTAAATCTTTTGTTATTAGTCCTACAGGTCTTTGAGGCTCTGTTCATATTTTTTCAGGTTTTTTTTTTTTTTTTTTTTTTTACTGTGTTGTTCAGAATGGGTGATTTCTACAGTTCTGTATTCAACTTCACTCTGTTGTCTCCATTCTGCTACTGGGCCTATCTAGTGAGTTGTCCATCTCAGTTATTATATTTTTCAGTCCTAAAACTTCCATTCAGTTCTTTGTATTTTCAGTTTCTTTGCTAAGACTTACATTCTACTTTGTCATTAGTTTCAAGTGTGATTGTAATTGTGTGTTAAAGTGTTTTTATGATAACTGTCTTAAAATCTTTGCATGATAACACCAACATTTGTTGATATCTGTTGATCACTGACACCACACTGGCTGAAGGGGGAGGAGCTCCTCTACTTTTGGGCGAGGATGAAAGTTTAAGCTCCCCACTAGCCCTTCTCTGATACTACTCCTAAGAGGGAGAGGGATGCCTCTTCAGAGCTGTGCAAGCGTGGAAGTCTAGAGTCCCCACTCAGTCTCTGCTGACAGGGGCATAAGTGGGGCCTAGTAAAATAGGGTCTAAAAGTTTTCTGTCTCTCTAGGTTGCTCCTTTCCTGTTCCTTCAGCTAGACAAAGCAGATTTTCCTTGGGTCTTTAAAAAAACCTGTTTTTCCTTTTTTTTTTTTCTTTTTGTATTTCTGAGATGTCAGCTTCTCTAGCTTCCAGTCCAGGACATATAAGGCCCAGGATATTTACTGCTCTGCTGTTCTTCAGGTCTTAAAGTCTCTAGCTGATCTGCCTGGTTTCCAACTTTCAGAGTTTTCTTATGTTTGTTTTATATATGTCAAGGATTTTTAGCTGCACTTAGCAGGAGGAATAGGGAGAAGTGAGTCTATGCCATCTTGTCTCAAAACTAAAAGTCACTTTTTAAAAGTAGAAGTATTTAAGGATATGAAATTTTCTAAATATGATTTTGACCAAATCTCATAAATTATAAGTAGTGGTATCATTTTTCATTTCTAAGAAGCATATAATTTCAAATTTGACTTTCTCTTTAATCTAATAATTATTTGGGAAAAAATATAATTCCTTTATAGTTAGATTCTTTTTAACTATTCTGTGTTAATTAGTTTTATGTCACGTATCTGGCAATATCGTTTGTATGATTTCTACTTTTTAACCATAAACATTCTTTGTGTGTTCTGCCTTTTTGGATACATAGTTATATATACACCCATAAATACAAAAATCAAGTTTGTTACTCCTCTATGTCTTTAATTATTTTGTATAATTGATCTGTGACATTCTGATAGAAGTATGTTGTTGTTTCCCATCATGAATATATAATAGTTTTGTGATATTGTCCCTAAGTTTTCTTAAATACTTGCTTTATACATTTAATTCACATTATTGAGTACATAAAATTTTATATATGTTATATCATGTTGGTGTACTATTTATCAATATAAAATATCCTTCTTATCCCATTTACTGATTTTTGCCTTGAATTTTATTTGCTATTTTTGATATTAATACTGCGACCACTGCTTTCTTGTCAGCATTTACATGATATATCTTTACATATTCTTTTCTTCCATCTTTTTTTATGATTTTATTTTAGGGATATCTATTGTAAATAGCATCCACCTGGATGCCATTTATGTATTATTTTTGCTCTTTTATGTATTACAGGAATCTTTGTCTGTAATATGAGAATTTAACTAATCCACATTTCAATGTGATCACTAATGTTTATTCTCTTTTCAGCAGCACAAAATTTTCACTGGCAAAAACACACTGTTGTTGGTAATGTTGCAGGGACTGAAAGATCTTGTTTGAGGCCTGGCTCTGTCACTTACTAGCTTTGTGACTTTGGATAATGAGTACCTGCCTGAATAAGAGTGTTGTAGAGATTTCAAAATAATTAATTGAAAACACTTAGCTCAGTGCCTGGCACAGAGAAAGTATTCAGTAAATATTACAGTTATTATTGCTATTGTTATTGTTGTTTTTGTTATGTGACCACATATCAAGTACCAAAAATGCTTGATTTAAGCCTAGATCTTTAGTTTTATTCTGCTTCCCAAGCTGTGGCTATGTATCTCATCCCAACTCTCAGGTATTTCAATTCTGAAATCTCTTTGTCACTACAAATTCATGTCCCTTTATAACTGGCTTCTTCATATAAAATGTCTCTGATTCTATCAATGCAGCAACATTTACCTAGTGCTATGATCTGAATGTGCCCCCAAATTCGTTTGTTGAAACTTAATCACCAATGTGATAGCATTAAGAAGTAGGCCATCTAGTGTGATTAAGTCATGAGTGTGCAGCCATCATGGATGGGATCGGGGCCCTTATAAAAGGGCTTAAGAGAGTGGGTTTGCTTCTTTTCTGTCCCTTCTACAATGTAAGAACACATGTGTGTCTGCTGCAGAGGATGAAGCAACAAGGCACCATCTTAGAAGGAGAGACTTCAGGTCCTTCCCAGACACCAAACCTGTCAGCACCTTGATCTTGGACTTCCTAGCTCCCAGAATAGTACAAAATAAAATTCTATTGTTTATAAATTACCAACTTTTTGGTATTTTGTTATAGCTATCTTAATTCATACCTTATATCTAGTTATCCAATATCTGAGTTGGGTGTTGCTTAAAATGACTCATATCTTTCTTTTTCATTCTACTTTTATTACCTCCAATCCAGTGTACTTTCTCTTCACCTCATATGTGGATTAGTTTCTTTGACATCAGTCTCTCCTCACTACAATGTGTACTGTCACCAATAGTCCCCAAACATCATTTTTATCATATTACTCCTTGCTCAAAACCTTTTGATAGTTTCAGACTTCTGAGAAAAATCTATATTAAATATCTTTGCTTATTTTCAAGGTCTTCATTATTGAACCCTACCTTACTTTTCCCATTTTGCTTATAATTATACTCCAACACACAAACTCCACTCTATTCAGGAGAACTTCATTCTCCTCTCACAGGTCAAGTTCATTCTTGCCTCTAGGGCTCACTCATGGTATTTTCCTCCTCACTTATAGTACCTTTCCTTCTGCTCTCCTGTCATCTGAATACTATCCATTCCAAAAAGCCTGGTTAAGTCCTACCTCAGTTGAGAAATTTTCTTTGTCAACTGGATCTCCTTCACTGTAAAATACTGACCTAATGGTTTAGTAATTCTTTATATATTGTCTTAAGTTGTTTCTATCATTCTTGCATATTAGCTTTTCGTCTCCAATTAGACTTTATACTTTCTGAAGACAATTCTGCAAATATAGTAGTTTTTAAATGGGTACTTGTGTTAACTGTCTTAAGTAATGAAGAAAGACAAAGAGAAGAAAGACTACCCTACTTCCTCAAATCCTGTGATATTGAAGCACTTTTGAGATGTGACCAAAATCCCTAACAGTCTGTCTGGATTTTGAATGATTAATAATAAGGGATTTTTCTTTAATGAAAAGGAATTCTATATACTTTGGCAGTACAAACAGGTCTTTGGAAGCAACAGGAGAAACACAGAAAGGAAGCAGTCGCTTCAGTATTGGCTCTAGTCCTCCAGGAACTGAGAGAATAATAAAGCCTTTCACCCAGTTTCAAGTAAGCAATGTCAGGAAATCCAGTCAAAAAAAAAAAAAAAAGAGGAAACGTAAGCCAAAAGCCTTTTGGCTTTTTCCCCTACTAGATTTTACAGCTTCCGTTAGGCTTTGGAAGAAGCAGCCTGGGAAATTATCTATAAAATCTTGATGTACCACTAGAGTAAGAAATATGCAGATACAGTATTACTGTCTTTAAAAATAATTGTATGAATAAAATTTCTGAAAATTGACCTAGAAACTAATTATCTAAAGTAACCACCAACCAAGTTTTAAATTATCCTCCACTACATTTTTTGAATTATAGCTCTCAAACTATCTGAAAACTATTCAATTATAGCTCTGAAATTACTCTTGTATGTTGATTTATGTATTACATATAGTCTGTCTTCACCTTCTAAAGCATAAGCTCCATGAGAACGGAAACCTCATCTGCCTTATTCACTCCATGTGTCCCCAGTGCTTAGAAAAGTGCTTGGCATAAAATAGGAGCCAATAAATACTGCTGAAAGAATAAATTATAAGAAGTAGCTCTCTAGAAACAACAAGATGTTGAAGGGCTAAATCTATGACTTATTTCCAAAATACATTCGTTCCTTGCCTCATGCAGCCCTTACCAAGCATGCTGTGTGAGATGGGGAAGGTGATGGTGGGCTGGCCTGTCATCCGCCAGCGGCTACAGAGGTAGGAGAGGTCTGTTCTAAGCATTTCCACTATCATCTTGTTGTCCAGAGCCAGGTAGAACTGTTGCTGGTCTATAAACTGAGACAAATAAAAATAATAGATTAGATTAATTTACTCTCACAATTATCAAGTAATATTTTAAACTACTCATATATTCAGAAGAGTATCCAAGATGTCACAGGGCAATGATACCCCCACATTTAATGTCTAATACATTCCAAAGTATCTGGGGTTAACTGGCACATATAATAATTTCTGACATTTTTACGGTATGCTGCAGTTTACGAAGTATTTTTAAGTATATAATTTTATTTAATCCTGTAACCCCCCAGTGAGGGCTTTTCTTCTTTTAATAGATGAAAAATAAGGCTAAGAGATGATACGTGGATTAGTGAAATCATATGGCTAGCAAATGACAAAGTCAGAAATAGAATCTATGATCCATTACTCTTTTGTTTATACCTACCTCAGCTGCACTATTTCAAATGTAAGATGACAAATGGGGAGTTTAAGCTTTCTTTCCAGAAAATAGTTTCTCCTCCCCATAAACACATACAATCAGGTTTGTTATTATCATGTAGCTAATAAACATCAGGCTAACAACGTGTTTAATAACAGCTAAAACAGTACCGACATTTTTGTTTAGAAGAGGATACTGAAGATTTCTATGAATGTAAAAAGGGCCCTTCCTCCAAACAAAGAAAACATAATTTAGTAGCTGAATAAAAAAGGTTGTATTTTGTTTATAAAGGACACATACAGTTTTATTTTTAACTTTTAAAAGTAAGGATTACTTTTATAAGTACTCTAGCATTTGTAAAATCCTTAGTTTCTGCAATACCCAGGGTTACTTTTGGCAGTTACAATCACTTAGTGAAACTCTGTGCTGGAAGTTCAATTCAGTTCAACTCTATAAATATTAACTGAGTAAGTTATGTGCAAGGCCTGGTGGAACTCTTTGACACTTATCCCAACTCCAGTAAATGCTTTATTTCTCCAATGATTTTCTTTTATTTCCATTCATCTCAATGCACATTCCAGTTTATTTCACCCACCTGTGGAGTGAAAGTAAAGATAGTTTTCCGAATGTCATAGAGTTTTGAAGTTCCAAGCACTCCCATGTGTCTGTAGGGTCGTCCACTGAGTTTCATTCTATTGTTGCATCCTGATACAGAATTGAGAAATGGTAAAAATATTTCTAGAGCACAAATCAAATCAGCAAACATTTTTACATATATATATATACACACACATACACAATGTATGTATATACATATAGACACACACACACATCCACTGTATTTCCTTGAATTTAAATTGTCTTCTTTTTACAGTTTAGCATTCTGAAATTGGAATCCAACCTATAATTGAGATCTATGTTAAATGTAGTTGAATTTCTTTTCGTCTTCCAAAAGGGAGTTATAAAATCAATACCTCTTACGATGAGAAAATAGTTTATTCACACACACATTTTTCTTTTATATCATAGGATAACACTGTTTATATTGTTCTGAAACTGTTTTACCCAAAACACGTATTAAATATGCTTTCATGTCAGTACTGACAGGACTACTACTTTTTTATTTTTTTGACTAGAACACATTTTTCTTGGGAATTTAATTTTTTTCATTTGCTTTACGTAAGTGTTATACTTATCAAATATGCCAGTTTTAGTGTTGCTTTACTCTTAGGGGGCTAGCATCAGAGAATTGTTAAAGCCTTGGTCATATTCCAGGGTCCATGCAGTAAAGCACACATTTTACCTGAGATTGATGTCACAACCAGGTTTTCCCACTACTCCTTACTTTTTGTTTCTATTTAATACTGCAAAATATACACAACATAAAATTTACCATTTACCATTTTAATAACCTTAAGTTCAGTGGCATTAAGTACATTTACATCATTGTGCAAACATCACCACCAACTATCTCCAAAACTCTTTCATCTTCCCAGACTGAAACTCTATTTATTGAACAGTAAGTAACTTTTCATGTCCTCTGCTTCCCAGCCTCTGGCAACCACTGTTCTACTTTGTATCTCTATGAATTCGGTATCTCATATAAATGGAATAATACAATATCTTTCCTTTTGTAACTAGCTTATTTCATTTAGCATAGTCTTCAAAGTTCATCTATGTGTAGCATATGTCAGAATCTCCTTCCTTTTTAAGGCTTAATAATATTCCATTTTGGGTATACATTTTGTGTATACATTGCATATTGTTTATCCATTCATTGATGGACATTTGGGTTGTTTCCACTTTTTGGCTATTGTGGGCAATGCTGCACATTGATGTAGAAAATGTTCAAGTTCCTATTTTTACTTCTTTTGGATATATACTCAGAAGTGTAATTGCTGGATTATATAGTAATTCTATGTTTAATTTGTTTGAGGGACTGCCATACTGTTTTCCATAGGGGCTGACACATTTTACATTCCCATCCACAGTACACAAGAGTTTTCATGTCTCCACATCCTCATGTTGGCTATTCAGGGTCCCTTGAGATTCCATATAAATTTTAGAACAATTTTTCTATTTTACAGAAATCATCATTTGGGCTCTTGATAGGGCTTGCATAGAATCTGTTGATAGCTTTGGGTTGTACTGGTATCTTAACAATATTATGTCTTCTAACCCACAAAGACAGCATGTCTTTCCATTTATTTGTCTCCTCTCTATTTCTTTTAGCAATGTTTTTCCATTTTCAGTGTACAAGTCTTTCACCTCTTTGGTTAAGCCTATTCTTAAGTATTTTATTCTTTTTGATGCTATTATAAATGGAACTGTTTTCTTAATTTCCTTGTCAAATTGTTCATTTTTAGTGTATAAAAATGTAACTGACTTTTGTGTGCTGATTCTGTATCCTATAAGTTTGCTGAATTTGTTTATTAGTTCTCACAGGTTTTTTTTGTTTTTGTTTTTGTTTTTTAAATAAAACCATGTCATGTGTGAATGGAGACCATTTTAATTTTTCTTTGCCAATTTGGATGTCTTTTATATCTTTTTCTTGTCTAACTGCTCTGGCTAGAACTTCCAATGATGGCCGACTGTGATGGTGTGTGCCTGTTGTCCCAGAGACTAAGGTGGGAGGATCCCTTGAGCGCAAGAGTTTGTGACCAGCCTGGGCAACACAGTGAGAGCTTCTCTCAAAAAAAAAAAAAAAAAAGCTATGTTGAATAGAAGTCTGGGTGTCTGTTTTATTTTTTTCTTTTGTCTTTTATTAATTTTATTAATTTACCAATTAATAACAAGTCATGGTTTTCTAAGTCATGTCTTCTTTTTTCAATGCTGAATACGGTGTATAAAGAATTGTAGAGGCTCTGGATGACATTATTTCCCTCCAGAGAAGATTCAGTTTATTTTAGTAGGCAGATACAGTATAAGCAGATCTTCTTAGCCCAATCAGGAATTAAGAAGATTGTGTTTTAGGATTTGTATTTGAGGCTTTCTAAGAACTCGTCTATTTATGGTTTTTCCTTACTCCTAAGGTGTAGTCCATTCTTTAGGGGTTTCAACTGAAAGCCCAAGGTGTTTATCACAGCCCCTTCCACATAGGAAGGTCCTGAAATGCAATTTTTGTCTCCGTAGAACAGTGAGACTTCCTGCTTAGTTTCTTGGCCCCTTACTTCATGCAAGCAAAACTTAAGAATCAGCAAATGCCTCAAAGGTAAACTGCACAGAGAATAGTGAGTTTATTCTTTGAGTGTCCCTTCTGTCCAAGGTTTTAGTTTCTCAAGTTCTGGCTGTTGTAATTACTCTCTGAAGCCTTCACTCACCTTCATTTTTAAAATTCAGCCATTCCAGTTATTGTTAGTATGACAGCCCAATACAAGCTATTTCATCACAGCTGGAAGCTGAAAGTCTACCTTTTTAGCTATGATACAATATACATAATTCTACCATTCTTGTTTATACACATTATAGTACTTCTAATTGTTGTTTTGCCACCACAGATTATAATGTAGTGAACATCCTTGAATATATGCCCTTGTGTACTTGTACGAATGTTATATAGGATAGATTCTGGGCTGGGTGCAGTGGTTCACGCCTGTAATTCCAGCACTTTGGGAAGGAGGCCAAGGTGGGCAGATCACAAGGTCAGGAGTTCGAGACCAGCCTGGCCAACATGGTGAAACCCCGTCTCTACTAAAAATACAAAAATTAGCCAGGCATGGTGGCAGGCACCTGTAATCCCAGCTACTTGGAAGGCTGAGGCAGGAGAATCAGCTGAACCTGGGAGGCGGTGGTTGCAGTGAGCCGAGATCGCGCCACTGCACTCCAGCCAGCCTGGGCAACAAGAGCAAGACTCCATCTTGGGGGGAGAAAAAGAAAAAGAAAAGGGTAGATTCCTAGAAGTAAGGTTGTTGGTCAAAGACATGTGCATTACATTTTTTTATAGGTAATGCCTACCTGCCTCTAATTTACACTACCAGGAGTGCTGAGAGTGTCCACATCTCCACATATTCATCAGCACTGGATATTGGCAATCTTACCTTTTTTTTGTAAAATTGATGGGCAAAAAATTACATAGCACTATTCTTTTATCTTACATTTTCACAATCATTGGTGAGGTTGAAACTATGATAACTTAAAAAATATAGTACTAGGAAAGAAGAAACAGTGATCAGCAGCACCAAAAAGTAAGATTAAAAGTATCCACACATGTGAGTGAGTATATGCATGTACAGTAAATTATAAAGGTGGAACTTCAAAACAACCTATATATGAACTATTCAATCAGTAGTGCTGGAACGATTGGTTACTTGGCAAAAAGTCAGATTTTTACCTCATTGGATAAACTAAAATTAATATTATAGCCTAAGACTTAAATGTAAAATTGTAACCATAAATAACAAAGAAAATGCAGTGAAAATGTATTTGACCTAGGGATGGGACTATCTTTCTAAGTGTAACAGCAAGGAAAGAATCCAAAAAAAGAGAAAATTTTACTACATAAAATATAAAACTTCTATACATGAAAAGCAGCACAAAATTAAAGGGCAAATAACAAAATAGCAAAATATTTCAATAACATGTGGAAGAGAAAGTGTCAGTATCCCTAATATATTTAAAAATACCTCATGGAAATCAGTAAGAAATCAACAAGTATCCAGTAGAAAAATGGCAAAAGAATATAAGGAGACGATTTGCAAAATTAACAGAAAAAGGCTATTTATGAAAATAACTTTTGAAGAAATTACGTTAATACAGCTATCAAACTGGATTGTAGGTGGCTACTTACCAAAATGTAACAGAGTTTATCATATACTGTTATTTTTCAAGAAAAACAGAATGCAAAATCCATTCTTAATGATATCATTTTTCTAAAAACATGTTTGTACTTATTTTATTTAAAATGATTGGAAACAAATATGCCAAAATAAAAGGTGGCTTCCTCTGAGTGGTGGAATTACAGGCGATTGTTATCTTTTTCCTTTGTGCTTGTCTGTTTTCCAGTTCCCTGCAGTCAATGCATACATACCAATTTGTAATCAGATAACTTACAACTTATGAAATTTGGAGAGAACCAGAATAGCATACCTATTCAGATAGAATTAGGAGATAAATTCATAATTCTTGAAGGACTGAAAAATATATCTGATAAAATGGATGTATCTAATATTTAAAGATTTGTACACAGGCAAGAAAATAATTATCTAAAAGAAAGTAACAGACTAGGAAATATATATAAGTCTCACTGATAAAAGCTTACCATAAAATATAAATAATTGATAAATATATACAGAAATGTGCAGACCCTATTAGATAAGCAAGCAATTGTAGACACATAGTTTCAAAAAAAGAGGTAAAGCAAAAATAGAAAAACGTACAGGTCCCTGGGAATTAAAGATAGAAAATTAAAATAATTTATACATACTAAAACCTACTTATCTAACAAAAATAAATAAAACTCCAATGTTAGTGGGGTAGTAAAAAAGAAAGGTATATTTTATATCTTAGTTATGTCACTATGAATTAGTTCGTCTTTGTAAATAATCATCTGGCAACATGTAACAAGAGCTAAAAAGCTGTTCACAAGCTTATCCAGAATCCCTTTACTGAGAATATACAATTAAGAAAACAGTGGTCTATACAAAGGCATTTATAGAAGGATAAAAATTCTTGAAAATATTCAGCTAATAATCAGGAAACAATTACTTTGATTTGATGAAATACTATATAGCTATTTCAATATGTGGAAATGCATCACGAGAGAATAAGTGAAAACAAACAGAACACAAGTGAATATAGGCATGTTAAAGATAACTATTAAAATGTATCTATATGCACTAAGATTAGAAAAGAATTAGCATTACATAAAGATTTGAACTTAATATTTTAAGTTCTTACTTTCACAAAGTTGATTAATCTCATAATTTAAAAAAATAAAAAAAATGTTTTGGAACTGACAATGAAATACTGAGCATTTGAGGGGAGAAAGAGAACTCCGTTTAGTTAACATATATAAACAAATACACCTGTTAAAGAAATAGCCCTTTTTCCTTCATGGAATTATGGTTGTCATTTGACGTACCCTTAGGGCAATTTTTTTATTGTGAAACTGTTGCAATAATAGAATTTTGAATAGTCACTCATCTGACTGATAAGTCATCAGATGTTGCCTCATCTATCACGCTTTTCCTGACTTCCCCAGGCAAATCTATCCCCTTTCTTCTGTGTTTTATATGTAACACCGTGGTCATAGCATTTATAAGATTGTACTGTGATTATTTAGTTGCATGGCTATGTCTTCCATAGCATCTAGCCCAGTGCCTGGTACATAATAAGTGAGCAATAAATGCTTATCAATGAATGAATGAAGCAAATGAAAGAACGTATCAGGAAGATAAATGTCCACTTGTCACTTGAGTCCTTGGAATGTTTGATCATCATTAAGTTTTTATTTCCTTTGGCTAGAAAATAAGAACTTAGTAAGAGGCCCAAGATGGAGTCTAGGTTTTGAAAAAGTAAATAGTAAGGAGATTGCTTCTATTTGTTGGAGAGACCTGATGTGAGGCAGGCAGATTCCATAAATGATGGCCCAGAGCTTAGAAGTTACCTGTTTCCCAGTAAGATATGCCGATTTAGAATAATAGATGCAATGAGGCAATGGGTAAAATTAACCTATTAACTTTTGAGTGAGAGCCAGAGAGAATCAGGTCAAAATCACCAACAGGACTTGCATAAACCCATTACTGCAGAGACTTCTAAGAGTTACAAAGAAGGTGACTGTAAGATCAACTAGTACTCAAGTGGGTAAGATGTTGGCTAAATAGGGAAATACCTTCCTTATCTCAAGGGATTTAGTGCTAGTGGACTAGTATCTGGAGACTAGAAGTGCATTATAGGTCTGGGGTGACAGGGAATGGCCAAAAAAAATAAAAACAGGAAGCAGGTTCTGGGAAGGGGTGAGGTATGTAACCCACCTAGCAAAGCATCCACCCAAATCAGCCTCAGAAGTTTCAGGAGCCTTGACTTGGTATTTACCTCAGTTAGGGTTGAGTAAATAGAGGGAACCAGGAGTATTTTATAATATTCAAGCTAATTTGTGGCTAGATTTTAGAAATTTATTAGGATCTGAGACATATTCAACAAATTTGTTAATTTCTTTGTGTATATATTTTAGTTTTTCATTATCTTTTTAAAGCAAAGTTTCTTTAGAAAATTCTAATCATGTTATATTTGAATTTTTAGGAAAGGGACATTCCTACATCATAGCTAAGATGGAAGAAAGAAATCCATATACTCCTAAAGCCAGAAGCCATGTTAATAGCTCCGGAATGCAAGGAGTTCAAGCCTTGTTGGCATTAAATATATGTTCCTAGAGACAGACAAAAGTCAGCTCTGACTCTTGGTCCTTTCCTCCTTGGTTGATTCCCTCTCAATTTAGACAAAGAAATTAAGTGACTGGAGTTACGTGCCAGAGAAAAGGGAAGGAGACTGGTTTTAAGCTGGGAATACTTGCCTTAACTGTAATTACTAACATACCATTCTTGGGTGATAAAAAAGTACACATACACACATACACGCACACACACACACGCGCGCACACACATATACAAACTAACTTCTGGGTTTGTAAGTGGCAATCCACTACCTAAGATCCAATCTTTTACAAATCTACTCCCTTGTGGTTTAAGATTGTATTACTTTTCTATTGGTTCTATAACAAATTACCACAAACTTGGTGGCTTAAAACAACACAGATTTATACTTCTACAGTTCTTGGCATCATGAGTCCAAAATGAGCATTATGGGACTAAAATCAAAACCAAAGTGTCAGCAGGGTTGATTCCTTCTGGAGGCTCCAGGGAAGAATCTATTCCTTGCCTCTTCCAGCTTCTAGATGATGTGGGCATTCCTTGGCTCATAGCCTTATCACTATAATCTCTTGCTTCTGTTGTCACATCTCCTACTTTTATAGTCTGGTCTTCCTCTGATTCCTTTTATAAGGACACTTGTGATTACATTTAGGGACCACCTGGGTAATCCAGGATAAGCTCCCTATCTCAAATGAGTCCATTTGGCCATATAAGTTAAGGTTTATAGGTTCCAGGAATTAGGACTTGTATATCTTTGGGGAGTCATTATTCAGTCTTCCACAAGAGTAGTTTAGAATTTCTTTTAGATAACAATATAGTAATTTGTTTAATGCAAAAAATCTATCACTAAGTTTAATATGTGAATTAATTAAAAAAATAAGTACTAATTAAAAATAAGTATTATATTAAGGAATCTTTTATATTATCAACTAGTTCATTAAATGACAAAGTATAAAAGACCTAAAAACAAGTTCCTTGGCTATCATTCCATATAAAATAAGCAAGTATTTGAAAAAGAGGTATAGGCTCCAAGAAAGGAGAGAACATGTTATTTAAGCACACACTTGGAATAAAGATACAATATTGGCTGATAATAGTCATGCCTTATGTACCCAAAGGGTTCATAAAACACACCTAAAATTATCAGGCCTGCTCAGAATAGAGAAGGTAAGAAAATTGGATTCTAGAGACTCTAAATTCCTTCTCAGATCCAGCTTAATAAAGCAATACACAATCATGAAGAAGAAAAAAGGATGGAAACCAGCCTATAATGAATAATGCTTTGATTCTAGCAGGCTAGCCAATCTCCTTACCTAGGCTGGAATAAATGTGGCTGAGAATACGAGCTGGTTGTACTCTGATGGGGTATACCTCAGCAATGGTCTCCACGTAAATTCCCTTGTCCTTCAAAATGGTCTTGATTTCTTCTGTTTCAGCTAGAATGGAGACTAGAGGAGACAAAGAAGATGAGGTCAACAGAAAATTTTATTTCAATAGCAACTTAACAATCTCTCAAGTTATATAATTTCTTTTAAAGAGAAAAAAAGGAAATGGGAGGAAATGAACAGTTATTGAGGAACTTTGATAAAATAAGTATCATGCTAAATAATATTATCTAAAAGGAAAAGGAAAATGAAAAGATCTCAAGACTAGAGCATTAGATTTTGCTTTTTGCCTAAATACTTATGTGCTCCTAGAGAATACCACACTCTTTTTATATCTAAGATTCCATGTTTAAATGGGAGAAAAATCCATCATGAGATTTGGTATAGCTTTGGTAAAAACTGATTCCCCGAGTTCTTTTGTATCAGTAAACCTAAGGTCAGAGCCAGGTATGTGGGGGTAATAAAGAACACCCTAATGACAAGAGTTGCCTATAGCTAGAGAATGATAGAAGGCATGGTGAATTGGGGATAACAATTTGAGTCATCAACATATAGAAGGTATTATAGTTGAAACTGTGTGTTTTTTAGGCAGCAGGTAGCGGGTGCTGGGGAGAGATGGGGGATGAAACTTCTCTAGATTCAGAGCCTGACAAGCCTGGACAGCTCTCTTTTCTTCCTCTTATACTCCTGTCACTGAAGTAGGAAGCCCAACTACAAGAGAGGAGGCTAGGCCAGCTTCCTGATTCTTTTTTCACTTTCGCTATATGGAACAGACACCTGGCTGGGGGCCAGTAATCCAATTGAGGCTTTAGCTGTCTTGACACTAAGCAACTGTGGCAAATGTGCCCTCTACTCCTGCTCCTCTAGTGCTGGTAGATGTGATGGATTGTTCACAGGAAAAAGAATGCACTGCTTGGCTTACCATTATTTTCTACATTGAGTTTTTGAAGCAAAGGCTTAGTTAACAAAGTGCTACTTTGCCTTCCTTTGCCATTATCCTTTGTGTATTTTTCTATCTTGGGAACCTCATGCTAATGGGCTGCTGTTGTCTGGGCCAGGATAGCAGGATATGTTGATCACAGAGTCCCCTGGACATAACACCATCTTGATTACTTCTAACTGAAAACATGAAAATAAAAGAGATTCTTCAGGGAAAAATATGCAGAGGAAGAATGATAGGGGGCTGAGGACAGTCCAGGAAAAAACATTTGGCAATTCATTCATTCATTAGTAAACATTTATTAAGTACCTCAATGGATGAGGTGCTATGCTAGTCACTAGGGATACAGAAATGGATAAATTAGTCTTTCCCTCAAGGAGCTCACAGTGTAACCGAAGTGGCATACACATGGATTGTAAAATGACCTGCTAGGTAAATAGAGATAAGTGCACAAAACTTTATGAGACCATCCAGGAGTGACACCTAGGTAGTGTGGGGTTGGGAGGAGTAGTATCAGGAAAGGCTTCTGCAAAGTGTTGATGCCTAAACTGAGTTTGAAATAATGAATAAGTTAGCTAGGAGAAACAAGGGATTAGGAAGGATATAGCCCTTCTAGGAAGAGAGTCCAGAATGAACTTATCAAGCACAGAGATGAAAAACAGCATGGCTGCATGTATAGAGGGAGGTGGGAAGAACCACATACACTTCAATATTGCTGTAGCATAATATACCTTGCATAGTGGCAAAAGAAATGGATCTGGAAAGATAGACAGGAGTTAGAGCATCGTGAAGGGCATATGCATCACTTGAAGGATTTTGTATTTCATCTTTGGGCCATGCTTTCCAAACTGCTTTCTACTGAGCCTTAGGATTCTTCATGGGAATTGGTTGTAAGAGTAGAGGGGACTGAAAGACAGTCAAGTGAACAATACTCTGGGGCCCCAGGAGTACCTTCAACCCAAGCAACTCATTTTTTTGTTTTATAAAATATTTAGAAAATTCTTATTTAGTGCCTCTTATGTGCTAGGCACTGCCATATGTTAAGGACATGATCCCTACATGGAAAAAATGAGACGGCTATAGAGTCCTCCTAGAGGCCTGAATAGAAGTTAACCTGCAACAGGATATGGTAAAGGTAAGGAAGAAATTGTTCCAGACAGAAGAAATAGCATGGGCAAAGGCTCAAGGGAACAGAAAACAAGGCAGAGCTAGGAATTATAAAAAGCCCTTTATAACAGGAACATGTAGCATAAAGGGGCAGTGATAAAAAATGAAGCTGGAGATGGGGTCGGGGCTAGATCTAAAGGGTCTTGTAAGTCATATTAAGGAGACTGCCAATGGGAAGCCCTTGTAGAGGCATAATCAGAGGAATACCATATTAATACCTGTACCTTAAAAATAGTACATTCAGATTGACAGAGAATAAACTGATAGACTGTAGTAAGACAGAGAGACCAGCTAAAAAGTTACTACAGGGCCAGGCGCTGTGGCTTACACCTGTAATCACAGCACTTTGGGAGGCAGAGGTGGGTGGATCACCTGAAGTCAGGAGTTCGAGACCAGCCTGGCCAACATGGTGAAACCTCATTTCTACTAAAAATAAAAAAAATTAGCCAGGTGTGGAGGTGCGTGCCTGTAATCCCAGCTACTCCGGAGGCTGAGGCAGGAGAATTGCTTGAACCCAGGAGGCAGAGGTTGCAGTGAGCTGAGATTGCGCCACTGCACTCCAGCCTAGGCGACAGAGTGACTCCATCTCAAAAAAAAAAAAAAAGTTACTACAGTAATGCAAGGAAGAGATGTTGACTACCTCCATTAGGATCAAGATATTGGTACTGGAGAAAACTGGATGGATCTCAGAATTATTTAGGAAATAAAGCAGCCAGAACTTGTTAACTGTTGAATGTAGGAGATGAGAGAGAGGATTCCCTAGGTATTTACTTGTGTAACTGGGAGGATGGTGTGTCATTTAATGACACAGGCATATAGGAGGAAAAGCAGGTATGGGTGATGTAGTACTAGGAGGGTATAGCTGAATAATTTTAGACATGTTGAATAAATTTACAGGGCAAGTGAGACACCCAAGTGAGGCTACCTTAAAGGAAGCTGATACAGATTCAGGAGTCATTAGCATAGAAAGAGATGAGATGGGTCAAGGAGAATACATAGAGAAAAGGAGAAGCGGACTTAGAATATAACCTTGGAAAATGCCAACATAAAAGACATGGGCAAATGAAGAAAAGCTGGGGGTGAAGTGGAGGAGTTCTTACATCATGGCTTGTATTTCATCTATGGTATAGGAGGTGAGATCATCTTCTGAGAGTGAGGGAAGAAGTAAGAAGGTGGAAAGAGGGAAAAGGGAAGAAGGAAAAGGTTGGAATAGGAGGAGGCTGAGGAACAGAAAGAAATATTTATATAAGCAAGAGCAGTGGGCTAAGGACAGAATTCTCATAAATACTAATAGTTAGGGGGCAAAGAAGAAGAGGAAGACCAGAATGAGAAAGAAATGTGCTTAATCTAGGTTGAAGGAAATTCAAGAGAGTATGGCATCATAGAAGACATGGGATACAGATTAAATACTCCAGTAAGATACAGATTAAAAAGTACCTACCAAATTTGGCAATACAAAGGTCACTGGTAACTTAAGCAAGATCATTTTCATAGTAGTAAGCCAGACTACAAAATACTGCAGAATAAAGGGAAGATAAAAAAGTGGAAGTTTGGATGAGAAAGAAAGAAGCTATATAGTGTAACTAGAGGGAGATGAACATGTCAGTAGACTAAACAAAATAGAACCAACAGAATGGGAGAGTTTGAGGATTCCAGGAAAGAGTAAGTTTCTAGAGAATGCTGGGGAAGAAGATAATGATCAAACATCAGAAGGAAGACTTGTCCTTGAATAGGAGAAGAAACCCTTTTCCTGAGATTGCAGAAAATGAGGCAAGGATAGGTAAGACTGTAGGGGTGGGGAGGGCTGAGACACTGACAAAGATCAGAATATTGTCAGGCATGAAGCAGCAGGCCAAGAATTAGGCTGAAAAAAAGAGGTGGGGATTGAAAACAGAGAAGGTGTGGAATAGTGGTTGAGAAGTATGAAAATGCTGACTAACAAGAACAAGGATGAACAGGAGGCACTGTAAACCTAGCTGAGTTGGAGACCACGATTTCCAGTGCCACCACTCTGCTCATTTGTGTCTTTTTTTTTCCCCAATAGCTTTTTAGCAGGCCAGGTAAAGGATCAGAAAATGCAGACTGTAACACTGACCTGGGGCTGTGATTTTTCGAGTGGTTCTAATAGAAATTATGGTGCATTGGTGACTGGGAGATTTAGATGAACAACCATGAGGTAGAGAAGGGTAAACTAGGGGAAAATAGAAACAAGGGTAAAGGGAAGAAAAAGAAACTTGAAATAATGTTATGACTATGATCACAGAGTAGAATATTGGAATTTCAGGTATCTGAAGTGAAAGAGCCTTAAAGTTTGGTCCTTTGAGTGAATGGCTAAAAGTATAGGTAGAAGGAAAGGTCACTAGAGTTATGGATATCTAGAACTTTGAGACTGAAGTGTTAGACTGCACTGACGTCAATGCTAAAATCTAGTTCTATGGCAGGATTTGGAGAGGAAGAGGAAGGCTGTAGCCAGGCCTCAAAGTCTTCAAAGAATGAATTAGAGCAACCAGGAGATCAACATAGACAGGTGGAATAAACCTCAAAGGAGAACAAGATCTCTCATGGGAAGGGAAGAGTAATGACTTTTATATAATGTTTGCTATATACATTGATAAGCAAGAACTACCTGTATGACCACATGGGATGCCAAGTATAAGAAAATTTAGAAAACACACGAGATTATTTTCCATATAGAACCAACCCCAAAGTCAAGTGATTGGAGACATCTCAAAGGAGTTTCACAACACCACATTGGATTGTGATGTTAGAGAGTAAAAACTTACCTCAAGTCTTCTACCCTAAGAGACTAGAATAATGGTGATATCATTGAGAGAAATAAGGAAGGTAGAACGATTTGCATTTCTTAGGAGAGGAAAAGGATGGGATGGAGACAAAAGAGGTCAGTTTTGTGTTTGAAATGTAAATGGCACAGAAGTTTTATAGATATTGGGACTAGAATTCTTAACATGTTTATAGAACTCAGCCTAGAGTTCTGCAGAAAGTAGATGCCCCAAATTTAAGTAAATTGTTAGGAATAAAAACAAAAGTTTGGAGTATTCTCCAAAGAGGTAATAGTTGGGGCCATGGAAGCAAATTTACTATGAAGGAGGCAGGCTTAGCTACCTAATACAGAGTGTAAATACAGAAAGACAAGAGTATAAGACTAAGTGCAGCCGGGCGCAGTGGCTCGCGCCTGTAATCCCAGTACTTTGGGAGGCCGAGACAGGCAGATCACGAGGTCAGGAGTTCGAGACCAGCCTGACCAACATGGTGAAACCCCGTCTCTACTAAAAATACAAAAATTAGCTAGGCGTGGTGGTGCGCGACTGTGATCCCAGATACTCAGGAGGCTGAAGCAAGAGAATTGCTTGAACCCAGGAGGTGGAGGTTGCAGTGAGCCGAGATTGCCCCATTGCACTCCAGCCTGGGTGACAGAAAGAGACTCCCTCTCAAAAAAAAAAAAAAATACTAAGCGCAGAACCATTAGAAGGATATATAAAGAAAGAAGTACAGTAGAAATAGCACAGAAGGAGTGGTCAGAGAAAAAGCAGAGATAACCAGGAGGCTAAAATGTTATGACAATGAAAAGAAAATAATTTCCAGATATAAGGAGTGGTTAAGGGTGTCAAATAATATTTTGGAGTCATCTGACATAGAACATCATTCATTTGTTTATTATTAAGATAACCAGCATTTTGAAACCAAACCGAACAAAGTTCATTGTATACATTTTGAAGCCTAATAAAGTGCAACATATAGAATAAAGTCATAATTTACTAGCCTAAAGATCTCTGCCCATAACCAGACCTTTAATATAAAGTTTCTTCCACTGGGAATAAGAATACATACCTTGAACCACAACATCGGGCTTCGGTACAGTAGAAAACCTGCGATTCAGGGGATCAATTTCTCCAGGGGCTAAAAATCCCTAAAGAAAAACCATAAAAAGACAGATTATTAAGTCTCAAAAGAGAAACTAATACTTGAGGGAAAACAACATCCCTATGCCCATAACCTTGCACCATAACATTCAAGAGACAGGTGTAGAAAGGAAACAAATGCCTTCACTGTATGAAAATGTTTGAATTCCCAAATTCACACCACAATTCCTTTTATCCAGAGTTAATTGCTATTGGCTGCCACAAATGCTTTTTTAGGTAGGGTATAAATATGTAGGGTATAATTTGTTTTCTTTTTTTGAGACAGGGTCTTTCTCTGTCACCCAGGCTGGAGTGCAGTGGTGCAATCATGGCTCACTGCAGCTTCAACCTCCTGGGCTCAAGTGATCCTCCCACCTCAGCCTCCCAAGTAGCTAGGACCACAGGCGTGTGCCACCACGCCTGGCTAATTAGTTTATTCATGGAGACAAGGTCTCACTTATGTTGCCCAGGCTGGTCTCCTGGACTCAAGCAATCCTCCCGCTTTGGCCTCCCAAAGTGGTGGGATTATAAGCATGAGCCACTGCACCCAGCTGGGTATAAATTATAAATAAACAAAGTTTTCTGGTTATTCCTCTATCTTCTCTGGATATACATATGATTAGATGATTAGATCACACAGCTTATCAGTAATTTAAGCCATTAGTCCTGCTGTATTCTCATTTGTTCATGTATCTACTATGCCTTCTGCACATCAGAAATCTTTTGACTTGAGTTTCTGCCCTTTATGAAATGGGATGAACTCACCTATTTTTTCCTTAAGAATACAAATCACTGGCCGGGCGCAGTGGCTCACGCCTGTAATCCCAGCACTTTGGGAGGCTGAGGAGGGCGGATCACCTGAGGTTGGGCTTTCGAGACCAGCCTGACCAACATGGAGAAACCCCATCTCTACTAAAAATACAAAATTAGCCAGGCATGGTGGTGCGTGCCTGTAATCCTAGCTACTTGGGAGGCCAAGGCAGGAGAATCATTTGAACCCGGGAGGCGGAGGTTGTGGTGAGCCGAGATCGTGCCATTGCACTCCAGCCTGGGCAACAAGAGTGAAACTCTGTCTCAAAAAGTAAAATAAAATAAAATAAATTTTAAAAAAAGAAAAAAAAAGAATACCAATCACTGTGGTATTCTTTTTATCAATGCCTTTACTTTATTTTAATTGAATGAGAGAGTCACCAGGTAAGGATTACTTAAACAAACCATTCTGCCCACTTTTGCTAGACTCATTTAGTAATGTCGACTAAGAGTAATCAAACAGCCATGGCCACAGCCACACAAGGAAAATGAACAAAACAGCTGCAAAAATCAGTGGTTATACATAAACAGGTCAAAGAGTCTGACTCAGATAGGATAGTTAAGTCCCACTCTTGATCCTCTAGGAGCCTGGGTTATATCTTATCAAAATAACATAGAGTGGGGAAGTAGACTTGCCAGATGATATGAAAAACTTCTGAGAAACAGAATGCCTCTGTGCAGGCTCAAAATGTCACAAAGAAGGTGGACACAAAGTCAGAAACTCCCAAATGCCTCATTAAGGGCAATCTCAACAGAATCTGATATAAGGAACATTTAGAGAGACCCTTAACAAAATACAAACAAACATAAAAACCCAAGCAAAGAAAAAAAAAGTCATGATGTTCCTAGTCACTTATCATGGCACCTAAAAATATCAGTTAATTTAGTTAAAGAATGAAACATGTTGCTTGGAAGCATTAGCACTTAATCCATTATCAGTAATTAACTAGCTAAGCACAAATGCATCTGTTAGTCACCAGGCAGGGCACTGAGGGAAGTTTTGAAAGGGATAGATCTGGGGCCTGAGCAGTTCCAAATACAGTGCCAAAGTAGGGAGCCCCGGGCAGCAGGAGGGACATGGTTGCCAGGCAGCAAGAGCTTTTTGTGAGGGTTGGCCATGCTCCCTACTCTGAAGACCTGGAGGAAAACTATAATTAAGGCAAAGTGCAAAAGGCAGAAGACATCCTTCAGATTTAATGAGCTACTTAAAAATCTGATTATTATGGTGACTTAAGGCAGAAAAAAGTGGGACAGCCTTGAAGATTCCTCTTACCTCTGCCATCAAGCTTCCTAAAATGTATAGAGACTGACCCCACATGTGAGGCAATTTCCCCATGGGGACTCGGTCCACAGTGTGAGGATTCTGATATTCTTCATCGACCTAAAAGAAAAGATGAAGAGGCCAGATGAGGAATAATAGAAGGTTTAAGATACTGGATAATAAAAAGGTGGACTGGATTGTAATTTATACCCTATGTAGCTACATATGCAATGCACTGAAAAGTGAAGCACTATCACTATAATCTAGGGCAGTGCTCCCCAACTGTGATGTGCATACAGATCACCTGAGGATCTTGTTAAAATGCAGATTCTGATTGAGTGGGTATGAGGTAGGGCCTGAAATCTATTTCTAACAAGCTCTCAGGTGGTGCTGCTGATGTTGCTGGGAGCTTATTCTACTCATTCTCACCGGAATGGAAGACTATTCTCTTCCATGTCTAATGCTCTTTTGCAGTGGAGAAGAGGAACAATGTTACACCCGACTGGCATTTTGGGAAAATGACAGTCTGAAAACAAGACATATTCATTTTCCAAGACTGATCTATTAAAACAATCCGGGATTACTGGCCTAAAAATAGAGAATACCAAATCTTGAGAGTCCACACAGAACATCATCCTAGTTTTTCCTAGTGATCTCTACATCATTCTCAAGATTAAGGTTTGGTCTTGTCCTTGTCTGACTGTGCAACAGTACCATCATTGAGACTGCTTTAAAATTTTATTTTTGAAGAAATAAAATCATACTTATGTTGTCCTGTACCTAAAGACAAGCTTTCAGAACAACAAAATAAGATTAAAAATTATTTGACTCAAATGAGGTAGTCTGATCAAGGTACTGCTCCTCTTCTCTATCAGCTACATGTTATGGCACTGTCTGACTCACCCTGTCAGGAGGAACACTGTACAGCTCTGGCAGAAGTGGGACTCCATTTTTGCCCTTGATGAGGACTGCTTCAAGAGCCTCTTTATATTCTTGAACCTGCAGATAAAAGAAAGGCAGGAAAAAAAGACTTACAGAGAGTCCCTTTGGGGACCCAGGAGAAGGTTGCAGCCAAAGAAGGTCCTATTGCAAAGGAGCTTATTCACCCAGTAAAATAGAAAGGAAAGGGTATTTACTAAATGCTTGTTATAGGCCAAATATTATGCTAGGAGTTTTGCATACTTTAATGCATTTAACTTTAAAAACTATCCTAGGAGCTATGTGTAATTAAGGCCTTTTTACAGGGAAATTATCTCAAAGAGGTTGTAAATTTGTGGAAGATCAGAGCAAGTACACAGTTGAGTCCAGGGTGTAGCCATGGCAGTCTGCTTCCAAAGGCCTGTCTTGTTCCACTATGTATATCTTAAGTATAGCTTCTAGATTTGAGGATGTATTGTCTTAAAACTGCATTTCTACCTGCCAAATTAGGTTCTATTATGGTCAAGTTTATGTTCTGTGCTTAACCATTTGCTAAAGCTTAGCAATATATAAAATGTAAAAAAAAAAACAAAACCCAAAACTGTAATTTATGATGAAAAAAAAAAATAGTTCTGCTATAACACTTTCTTTGTAAACAAATTTGTTCCAATGCTTCTGATATATTAGGGAAAAATTTGAGTATAACATGAATTTCATGTTTGGTTATGCACAATTTCATACTGAGAATGTACTCAGCTGAACTGGGCCATGTAAGAATACACAAAACACACATGCATATATCTCAGGAGAATGATGAACTGTACCTATTCACATCTGTTTTTACTACTTTCTGTCCAATTTCAGATAACACTCCTTTCACCACTACTGAACTTACAAGCTGCAATCCTCTGATGGCCACCCTGGATATGCAACCACATGCCTTGCCCTCTCTTCAGTTTTCTACCTCTTTCCTCTCAGCCTTTTAAAAAAATTTTCCTCTCTGTTTTATGCTCTTTTTCTCTGTTTTCTCTCACTCTTTTTAATCCCTCTTTTGTTCTCTTCCTCTTGCACATTATGTAGTGGGCATGAGAGCCAGGTGGGTGAGCTGGTGAGAACTTGGGTACACACTTGCACAAGCAAACTTTGGGTCTTTTTTAAGGTGAAAGTACGGTAACTATTGTGGTATTTATGTATTTCTTAACTATTTACCATGTATAAAGCCATGATACTATTATTTTTATTAGGTTCCTATCATTTTGTATGTGTTACATTTTATGTGCTGCACTCCTTACCCCATTTTCTCATAAGCCCTGTAGTTTTTATTTCTTAAATATGCATAGCATGGTGATTTTTTTTTTTTTTTTTTGAGACGGAGTCTCGCTCTGTCGCCCAGGCTGGAGTGCAGTGGCGCAATCTCGGCTCACTGCAAGCTCCGCCTCCCGGGTTCACGCCATTCTCCTGCCTCAGCCTCCCAAGTAGCTGGGACTACAGGCGCCCGCCACTACGCCCGGCTAATTTTTTGTATTTTTAGTAGAGACGGGGTTTCACCGTTTTAGCCGGGATGGTCTCGATCTCCTGACCTCGTGATCCGCCCGCCTCGGCCTCCCAAAGTGCTGGGATTACAGGCGTGAGCCACCGCGCCCGGCCAGCATGGTGATTTTTAAAGAATGCATATGGCCTGGGTGTGGTGGCTCATGCCTGTAATCCCAGCACTTTGAGAGGCTGAGGCAGGAGGGATAGCTTGAGCCCAGGAGTTTGAGACCAGCCTGGGCAACACAGCGAGGCCCGTCTCTACAAAAAACAAACAAACAAAAATAGCTGAATGTGGTGGCATATGCCTATAGTCCCAGTGACTCAGGGGGCTGAGGTGGGAGGACTGCTTGAGCCCAGGAGATCGAAGCTGCAGTGAGCCATGATCACGCCACTGCACTACAGTCTGGGCAACAGAGTGAGAGACCCTGTCTTAAAAATGACAACAAAAAAAGATTGCATACGTATCATTATAGCAGAACTGACTGTACGTTGCATTTACAATATGTCTTTATCTGTGAAATTCAAATACTTTTAGGAATATATTCTTTAATGAATGGGGAAAAACTATTTTCATTATGTATAGAGAAACTGAAGAAGTCAATGATAATAGTTGGGCACTCAATGGTCAGGAGTGAAACCAAAAATTTTTTTTTTTTTTGAGACGGAGTCTCGCTCTGTCGCCCAGGCTGGAGTGCAGTGGCGCGATCTTGGCTCACTGCAGGCTCCGCCTCCCAGGTTCACGCCATTCTCCTGCCTCAGCCTCCCGAGTAGCTGGGACTACAGGCGCCTGCCACCACGCCCAGCTAATTTTTTGTATTTTTAGTAGAGACGGGGTTTCACTGTTAGCCAGGATGGTCTTGATCTCCTGACCTCGTGATCCGCCCGCCTCGGCCTCCCAAAGTGCTGGGATTACAGGCGTGAGCCACCACACGCGGCCGAAACCAAAATTTTTTTAAAAAGAAGAAAAAAATAATCCAGGTCTTTTTACTCTTAGTGCCCTCAACTAGTAGCCTGTAGGGAACAACTGTCTCTCCCCTATTAGGAAGACTTCCAACTGGACACAGGGTTGGTATACTATTAGCTGTAAGAAGATATAACAAAAACATTCTGCTGAAAACTCTTTCCCCAGCTTATTACCTGTTCTGCATTGCCACTGAAGACCCCATCAAGAATAAAGTATGTCCAGAACAATGGCCATTCACACTCAATGTTTTCAAATAGCTTCAGCTCAGCTGGTTCATAGTACAGACGATTGGGATCCTAGTAAAAACACAATAAAGTCTGTCATCACTCAGAGGTTAGATGTATATCTTTAGCTCAGAGGTATTATAATACGGGTTTTCATTACTGATTGTTTTAGAGAAGGTGTTCAGGAAGCAGAGCATGTACATACTCCCTTCCCTTAGCAAGTACTCTATGATGCGACTTCTAACTAGCGGAATTGGGATAGCAATGATATCACAAGAGGGTGTATGAAGAAATAAGATTGGTTTGCAATAAAGTTCAGTTTGGTTTTATATTTGTTAAGTTTTTTGTAATAATAGGACATACAAGTAGAAATGTTTAGAAGGGCAACTAGAGATGAGGGTTTGGGAATCATTTTCCTAGAGGTGACATATGAAGTACAAGTTACAGATGAGCTTTGTGAAATAGCACTAAATGAAATGAGCAAACTGCTCAAGAATGGAATCTTGGTAAACCCTCAGAGTGGGGCAAGGGAATAACAGAAAGAGAAGAATCAGGATAATCTAGTGGGAAAATTAAAATAGGAAAAGAATTTCAAGAGAATTTAGGGCTAGGTAAAAAGTGAGGTACCATAGAGAAGTCAAGGAGAATAAGGATTCAGAAAAGGCTATTGGATTGGTCATTTAAGAGCTTATGATGATGTTTCAGAACATATAATTTTAGTACACTGATAGGGGAAGAAGTCAAATTCAAGGCTAAAAAATAAAGTGGAAGAGGAAGTAGACCAGAAGAGTTTGAGCTCGATGATTTAAAAAAATCCATAATGTCTCTCAAACATCAAATCTAAGCTTTAAACAATGTTTCCATTACCAGTGAAAGTGCTTCATATTGACTGTTCAATCCCTTTAATGATACTGAATTTTTCTCATTGATATTTCCAAGGTGAACTTTTGACTAGTTGAATAAAGGGAACGTAAACTTTTCAAAATCAAGTACTGTTTAGAACTAACCAACTACAAGAGGTGGAATGTGGGGCCAGAAAGATCTACTGATGGAAAGATTTTTCCCTTTGTAATTGTTAAATATTTTGGGAGAGATACTTTGAGACAATGCAAATACTATTTCTGTATAAGCTTTCATCCACTGATTTTACCATGTATCTGTAGTTCTTTCCCGAAACTAACCAATGCAAGAGGTGGAAGGACTACACCTTCCTCTATTTTACTTAATCCAGAAAGGCCTACAAACTGAGAACTTGGCAGCTAAGCCAAGTTCAACAAATATAGCAAACATCAGTTATCATTATCCTACTTAGTGATCTCTATAAGTACCATCAGTGAGGTAAATATTTTCTCTGAATGAGGCTGCAGGTAGAAGTGGCCATTCTACCTTGGATTCATTTTGGAGAAAAGAAACCTACCTCTTTAGGAGTTTTATATCCATCTCGTAGAAAGCGACAGCAACCATAACGACCCTGGGAATACAAAGAAAAAAGGTCAGCAGCTTGTACACTGGTACGGCCATGTAATTAATCAGAAATACATCCTTGCAACATCTATATGTACCACCAACCTATCACCGATAAAGGCATAATGCTTAAAACCAAAAAACCTATAATAATATAATAATGCTTAAAACCAAAAAATCAATCCAGCAGCAGAAACAGATTTCAGCAATGTGATTTCAAGTGAAGGCAAAGTGACAGGCTCTTCACTAAAGCAGTGTTCCTAACAGTATCCTCTCCATGGCTATCCACCTAGGGTAAGTCTGACAGCATAATTACTAATCTATGTGGTCCTGTTCATAAGACACATACAGCTCATAAGTCATAAGACTCCATAAGCTTTTTAAAAAAACACATATTTTTTACATTTTGAGATAATTTTAGATTTACAGAAGAGTTGCAAAAACAGTACAGAGAATCCCAGTATTCCTGTCAACCACCATTCCGTTATAGTCACATCTTATATAACCATAGAAATCTGCCAAAACTAAAAAATTAACCTTGGTGGCTGGGTGTAGTGGCTCATGCCTGTAACCCCAGCACTTTGGGAGGCTGAGGCGGGAGGCACCTGAGGTCAGGAGTTCGAGACCAGCCTGGCCAATGTGGTGAAACCTTGTCTTTACAAAAAAATACAAAAATTAGCCAGGCGTGGTGGCACGTGACCGTAGTCCCAGTTATTCAAGAGGCTGAGGTGGGAGAATCGCTTGAACCTGGGAGACACAGGTTGCAGTGAGCCGAGATCCTGCCACTGCACTCCAGCCTGGGTGACAAAGTGAGACTTTGTTTCAAAAAAAAAAAAAAAAAAAACTTTGGTACGATACTATTAACCAAAGCCCATAACTTATTTGGATTTCATCAGTTGTCCTTTTTTCTGTTCTAGGACCCAATTCAGGATCCCATATTGCATTCAGTCATCATGTCTCCTTAGTGTCCTCCAATCTATGACAGTTCCTCAGTCCTTCCTTGTTTTTAATGACCTTGACACTTCTGAAGAGTGTTCATCAGTTATTTTGTAGAATGCCCCTCGATTTGGTTTTGTTTGATGTTTTCTCATGATCAGAGTACGGTTATGCATATTGGGAAGGATACCACAGAAGTGATGTGCCCTTCTCAGTGCATTGTATGAGAGAGTACATGATGTCAATGTGTCCTATTACTGGTGATGTTAACCCTGATCACTTGGTTAAAGTGGTGTCTGCTGAATTTCTCCACTGTAATTTTCCATTTGTAACTATTAAATATTTTGGGGGAGATACTGTGAGACTATTCGAACACCTTCGTTATGCTTAAGCTTTTGTCTACTGGTTTTAGCATCCATCAGTAGATTTCTCCTGAAATAATTGTTATTCTTGTGTTTGTCTAATGGCAATTTTGTATTTCCTTTATTCCTTTAGCATTTATTAATTGACATTCTCCTATTAGGGAGATCTGTCTTCTTTCCTATTTATTCATTTTTCAGTTATTTATTTATATCAGTATGGACTTATGGACATTTCATTTATTCTCTGGGTTATAATCCAATACTATGATAGTTATTTTATTGTTCAAATTTTTTCTGCTTTGGCCATTAGAAGCACTTTTCAGATGGTTCCTGTGTTCCTTTGACATGTTCCATACTTTTCTGAGTACCTCTTTATTTTCTAGAACCATATGAAACTCCAGGCTCCCCTTGTATCCTCCCTGCCCCAGTCAAATCAACCACTTCTCCAAGGAGCCCTAAGTCCTTTCATTGAGAATGACATTTAGAAACCAACATTTGGACACTAGGTGTACTCATTGCCTCTGGGCCCTCTCAGTGGACAAAGTTAGGAAACACATATAGGAAGACACACATCCCTATATTAAACACACACAGACACACAGACACACACACATACACACTTCATACTGATACTACCTTCTCCAATCCAACATCACAAGGTTCATTCTAGGCTTTTCCCATTCCCTATGTGTAACAGTGAGAAACCTAGGTCTCATTACCCACTATATCTACTACATATTTACTTATTTGGTCAACCTTACTGTACAGATAAAGTAGTTTCAGAATTGCCAACCAGTACCCCTTTGAGAAACAAATTTATCAACTAGAGCAGGGGTTGGCAAACTTTTTCATAGAGGACCAGGTAGTGAATATTTTAGATTGTGCAGACCATACAGCATCTGTTGCAATTACTCAGATCTGCTGTTGTACCTTGAAAGCAGCCATGGACAATATGTAAATACACCATGGTTGTGTTCCAATAAAACTCTATTTATAACAACAGATGGCCAGCCCACAGGCTGTAATTTGCTAACCCCTGAACTAGAGTACAGTGTGTGTATACAGTTATTTTTGTCTTTAGGTTAGGCTTGCAGTATCTAGTCAAAACACTGTTTTCCAAGACTTAGGTCAGCTCCTTTCTTTTCCATACCTTTTAGTGTGGTTACTTGATTCATTTGTAATGTAATTAGACTCATTTTTCAGTCTGAATTCCATCTTTCTTGACACACCCTGGTTGATTCTTTAAATTTACTTCTTGTGGCATACAATTCCTTAGCTTTTGACAAACATATAGTCATGTGTCCACCAGCATAAGTCCATAGAGAACCATTCCATCACCCTCAAAATTCTCTAGTGCTGTATCTTTATAGACAATCTGTCCTCCCAACTTCTGGCAACTACTGATCTGTTTTCCTCCCTATAGTTTTGCCTTTTCCAGAGTGTCATGTAAATGGAATCATGTAGTATGTAGTCTTTGAGGTTTGGCTTTTTTTCACTTAGTAAAATGCATCTAAGAATCAACATAAGTGAAAATGCAGATGGCCAAAGTGATGAGAACAAGGAGGACTATACAATCCCAGATGAGTATAGAATTGGACCATAACAGCCCAATGTTCCTGTTGGTATAGACTATGTAATACCTAAAACAGGGCTTTATGGTAAGCTATGTTCACTCTTTTATACAAAAGAAGTTGCAAAGAATACTCATTGCAGCAGCCTTCCTCATTATGAGAAATTAAATAAATTTCTGAATAAATTGGCAGAAGAATGCAGACAGAAGAAGGCAACTTAAGATGTGCAAGAAGATTTAAGGGTTTCAAAGAAAATAATGGTTCTTTGTGTTTAATGTTAAACTTTTTTAAATACAATACTGACAGAAGAAAACTATTGTACTCTTTTGTTTTGGTGGAGAAATAATGTCTGTTCATGTGTTAAGTGTTATAGCAAAAAAATACATACGATTAATGAATAGTTGTTTTATAGAAGTAATTTGTAGAGATTGACTTCGTAAGCTACTTAAGACAACTTGCACCACTAAGAAAAAAATGCAGAACCATTTGGGAAAATGAAATTTAGCAGTTCCAAGCTTCAAAGAAATGTCAGTATTTGATTCCATTTAATAAAGAACAAAACCAATAGTATTTTTATTACTTTCATCTGAAACATTCCATGTTTTAATCTGAGCCTTGCAAACTTTTCATTTGGAGTTTGACCCTTTTTTGGTTGCATTTCATTTTTGGAGAACTTCATTAAAATGAGATTGGCAATTCAAATGCAGGTGCAGTTTTCTGTAAATGTCATGCTGTTGTTTAGGTAATAAGAAATATTAAGTAATTGGCTTTAGGTTTTGTATTTTTTTCCCTGAGTTCCTGCTAGATTTTATATTCTAGTAGTCAATATTTTCAGTGAAACGTAAAAATATTCCCATTCTCTTTGACCAGTACTAATTTTTGAGATCTTATTGCTTGTCACTTGAATCCTGTAATCGTCATACATCTCTGGTGTAAGCAACATTTGATTTTTGAAGTGTGTAGACCACCTCTTCATATTTTCAAGATGTAATTTTATATTTCTGCATCTTAAAAACAGTTTGGCCATAATCCTAGATGCACGCTTCTAATTCATGTACCTGCACATGTGACCTTTGTGAACAGAAATGTGCATGTATAATCTGTGTTTACTTGTAACTTTCTGGTTATATACTGCTTGTATCTGTGGATTGAAGTTACTGAAGTGAATACCAATTAAAAAAAAACAAAAAAAAAACCCTAGGCCATGTTCATTGGTTACACATGTTTGGAATGTACTGACAAAAAAAAAAAAAAAAAAAGAATCAACATAGAGCACGATGGCTGACTAGAGGTGCCTGGTGCTTGTCTTCCCCACAAAAAAGGACCAAAACAACTAATAAACAACTAAAATTCAAGTGGAGTGTCTGAGGGAGAGCACTGTGGTGTAGCAAGTGACTGGCAGCAAGAACCCTGTGAAGTAGAAAAGCCCAGGATGGCAGCATAGAGAGGAGAGCGAGGCACCCTGGCTCTGCTGCCCCATCTCCCCTATTGGGATTGGCTCAGAGACAGGAGGGACTTCCCCTTGCAGGGAAAAGGTAAGCAAAAGGCTCCCACCGTCCCTCATTGCCAGCCCAGACACCTGCAGTCCTTACTATAGGAGAATCCTACAGTCCTCCCAAGTGCTGAGCCCAGTTTGGGGAGCTGCCTAGAATTCACACAACTATATTACTCCAGAGTACAAGTACATGTTGTGCACTTCCTATTTCTCATGACCAAAGCTGCTGCAGTACAGTGCCATCTTGAAACTGGAGCTACTGCAGGAGTGCAGTAGTTGGCCCCCCTACTCTGGGGGCCAGTAGCCATTGTACCTCTCCAACCTTGACTCTTTGCCATCATTTCACCAACCCCACACAGGTGGCTGCAGTGCCATGACCTCAGCTGCTCGAAGCCTGGCCCCAGGAATGGCCATGACTCTGGTCCTGCATAGTAGAAAGCCAACCCTGGACCAGCCTGACGGAGAAACAGCCTGATGGACCCATGTCCCTGGGCAGAGAAACAGCCCAGTGGCTCCACCCCTGGCAAGCCAGTTCCCAAGTCCCACGCCCCCAGGCACAGAAATAGCCCAGCAGCCCTGCCCCTGGTTGGCAAACCAGTCTCTGAACCAGCTGACCTGCCATGTGCCTATGACCTTGGCTAGAAAAACAGTCTGGCAGCCCTTCTCCTCATGCATGTCTACACCCCAGGCCCGGAAATCAGTCTGTTCAGGAGCCCACCCCTAGCAAAGCTACCCACCACACTCACAACTCCTGCAGCCTAGGCCATTGAGGTACTCACAAACATCTATTATGTGGATTACAGCTCAAGAAACTGCACAGAGACTATAATAACTGTGTCCACCTAGAACCAAAGCCAGTGTATCCTACCTAAACCAACACCTTAGGACCCATCTCCAGGAAAGTCTTTCCCTATCAAAGCTGCTCCATAAATTGGAAGAGGTACCTGCTCCACCAGATGTGCATATATCAATTCAGGGACACAAGAAACATGAAAAGGCAAGGAAACATGACACATCCAAAGGGACGTAATAATTATCTAGTAACAGACCTCAAAGAAAAGGAAATTTATGAAATGTTATAAAAGAAACTCAAAATTATGATCTTAAGGAAACCCAGCAAGATATAAAAGAATAAAGATAGATAATAAAATCAGGAAAACAATTCATGATCTGATGAGAAATTCAACAGATATTATTTAAAAAACAAACTTTAACGCAGAAGAATTCAATTAATGAAATAAAAAACACAATCAAGAGCTTCAACAGATGAGATCAAGCAGAAGAATTTCTGAACTTGGAGGCAGATCTTTTGAAATAAACCAGGCATACAAAAAAAAAACGAATAAAAAAGAATGAAACAAGCCTATAGGACTTGCAGAACACCATAAAGCAAACAAATAATCACATTATGGAAGTTTTAGAAAGACAAGAGATGGGAAAATGTGCAGAAAACCTATCTGATGAAATAATAGCTGAAAAATTCCCAATTCTTGGGAAAAATATGGATATCCAGATCCAGGAAACTCAAAGTTCCCAAATAGATTCAAACCAAAAAATGTTCTCTCAAAGGTGCATTATAGTCAAAATGTCAAAAGTCAAAGACAAAGAGAAAATTTTAAAAACAGCAAGAGAAAAGCATAAAGTTACATATAAGGGAATCTTCATTAGACTAGCAACAGATTTCTCAATAGTAATCTCACAGGCTGGAAGAGAATGAGATGATATATTCTAAGAGCTGAAAAAAAAAAAAAAAAACCTGTCAGGCAAGAACACTATACCCAGAATTAGACCAGCCTTACAAGAAATGCCTAAGGGAGTTCTACAACTGGAAGTGAACATATGATAACTATCATCATGAAAACATGCAAAAGTATAAAACTCACTAGTACATACAGAAAGGAGCACATACAGAAAGGGCACATACAGAAAGGAGAAAGAGAAAGAGAAAGAGAAAGAGAAAGGAATCAAGCCTTATCACTACAGAAAACCACCAAACTGTAAAGATAAACAATAAGAGAGGAAGAAAGGAACAAAGGATATACAAAACAACCAGAAAACAATTAACAAAATAACAGGAGAAAGTCCTCATTTATCAATAATAACCTTGAATGTAAATAGATTAAATTTCTCAATTTAGATGTAGATTGGCTGAATGGATAACAAGACTCACATGATACCTACAAGAAAGTCACTTCACCTGTAAAGACACACATAGACTAAACTGGAAGGAATGGAAAAAGATGTTCCATGCAAATACAAACCAAAAGCAAGCAGGAGTAGCTATACTTATATCAGATAAAATAGGCTTTAAGTTGAAAGTAAAAAGAGACAAAGAAGGTCATTATATAATAATAAAAGCATCAATTCAGCAAGAGGTTATAATAATTGTAAATATATATGCACCTAACATTGCAGCATTCAGATATATAAACCAAATATTATTAGATCTAAAAGGAGAGTTAGACTCCAGTACAATAATAGTGGGAGACTTCAACATTCTACTCTTAGCATTAGATAGATCATTTATACAGAAAATCAACAAAGAAATACCAGATTTAAACTACATTATAGACCAAATGGACCTAACAGACATTTACAGGGCATTTCATCCAACAGGTACAGAAAATACATTAGCACATGGAACATTCTCCAGGATTGATCATATGTTAGGTGATAAAACATGTCTCAACAAACTTTAAAAAATTGAAATCATTATCAATTATCTTTTCTGACTGCAATGAAAACTAGAAATCAATAACAAGAGAAACTTTTGAAACTGTACAAATACACAGAAATTAAACAACATGCTCCTCAATGACCAACGAGTCAATGAAGAAATTAAGAAAGAAATTTTAAAATTTCTTAAAATAAACGAAAATGGAAACATAACATCCCAAAACCTGTGGGATACAGCAAAAGCAGTACTAAGAAGGAAGTTTATGGCAATAAATGCCTACATCAAAATAGTAGAAAGATTTGAAATAAACAACCTAATGATGAACCTCAAGGAATTAGAAAAGAACAAACAGAACCCAAAATTAATAGAAGGAAAGAAATAACAAAGACCAAACAAGAAATAAGTGAAATTAAGGCCAAAAAATACAAAAGATCAACAAAATGAAAAGTTTTTTAAATAAACAAAATTGGCAAACCATTAGCCAGACTAAGAATAAAAGACCCAAGTAAATAAAATAAGAAATAAAAAAGAGACATTATAACCGATACCACAGAAATACAAAGGATTATTAGAGACTATTATCAAAAAGTATATGCCAAGAAATTGGAAACTCTAGAGAAAACAGATACATTTCTGGACACATACAACCTACCAAGATTGAACCAAGAAGAAATAGAAAACCTGAAAAGACAAATAACGAGTAATGGGACTGAATCAGTAATAAAATGTACTCCGATGAAGAAAAGTCCAGGAATGGATGGCTTTATTGCTGAGTTCTACCAAACTTTTAAAGAGCTAAAACCAAACTACTCCAGTAAATTGAAGGGGAGGGAATTCTTCCAAACTCACTACAAGGCCAGCAGTACCCTGAAACCAAAACTGACGAGGACACAAGAACAACAAAAAACCCATGGGCCAATATCCCTGATGAACATAGATGCAAAAATCCTCAACAAAATACTGTCAAAACAAATCCAACAGCACATCAAAAAGATTATACACCATGATTAAATCTGATCAAGTTGGTACCTTGTATCTTTTTATTGTTGAGCAGTATTCTACTGCATGAATATAGTGTAATTTGTTTATCCCTTCCTCTGTTGAAGGTTTTTTCCAGTTTTTGGCAATTATGAATAAAGCTGCTGTAAACATTTGTGTGCAGATTTTTTTGTGAGCATAAGTTTTCATTTCTGTAGGGTAGATTTCTAGGATGACATAGTTGGGTTATAAGGCAGGTGTATGATTAAATTTATAAGAAACTGCCAAACTGTTTTCTAAAGTGGGTGTACCACCCTGCATTGCTACCAGGAACGGCTGTAGAAGCTTTAACACTTTTAAAAGAAACTATAAAGACAACTCAGAAAACTTAAAGGTTTCTTGAAATCACAGACACAGGTCATACTTAAGGCCCCCAAAGGCACAATTTATCCTTAAAGTCACAGCCTTAAAGAAAACAAAGGTACATAGGGACATACCTGAAGCTTGGTGATGATTTCCTGTTTTGTGAGCTCCACCAACTGGCTATCCTCTACTGCAAAGGCAGGGAAGGAAACCACTGAGAGTAGACTAGCATCAACCTCTTTTGATGTTGAAGCACGGGGCAGTAGTGAATTTAGGATAGACTAAGAGAAAAGAAGTTAAGTTTATATAAAAGGATGTATTTCTTCTCCCTTTACCCCAATATCTTATCAACACACATGATATCACTTTTGAATATGTTTGACAAAATAGAAAAGAACATTCTTTATCTATTTTAAGTAGGTTAGTAAATACCTTAGCATTGTAAAACTAATAGCTTTAGTTTCAAAAGATTTATGTAGAAGAGGACCATTCACAAGAAAATCTAGACATTATTCAATAGTTAGAACTTAGAAAACCAGCAATTTCTGAAAATCATCCCTTGTCTTAATTCTGCTCTCAATACTTCCCTATCCTGATTCTTAACCAGTTACTCACAGATAAGGAATATTCTAACATTATTATACCACCCACAGTCCTGTTGCTCCATTAGCAACTACTTAAGAATAAAGTCAAGAGAAAACACAGCTGCTAAGAAGCAGGATAGGGAAGGCTCAGCTCCTCTACTTCTGACCCACTTTTTTCCTCTGGGAAATTTTGTGTTTTTAAAATTGGAGATGAGTTTATATTCAATAGGACCCTATGGTATCTAATCAGGGTTTGAAGGAAAGGAGAAAATTCCTCATGCCAATGAGAAAAACCTTAATCTTTCAATATGGAGAGTAATCCTAAACAAAACTGAAAATACATATTTGCCACTTAAAGTCTAATCTCCAAATATCTAAGCCTAGAGCCAACCAGGAACAAGAGAATGTTTCAGAAACACTAACAAGAATACTACAAATCCATCATCTCTGGTTTTCTTTATATATTTAGAAAAGGAGATACTCAGAAAGAGAGACCATATCCCTTTGATATGATAGTGGTGGATAATTCCACATAGTATGGTGGGATCCCTTTATAACCTTTGGCTAGAGAACAGGACTATGATCTATTTTATAGCCCATGCTATATTTGGCTTATCTCAGTATAGTATGCTTGTTAAATATATTTTTGGTACATGGTAATTAATCAGATGATGCACTGTCTCTCATTCAGCTATCCTTAATCTAAAGCTCATGCTTAAATCTGAGTCTGGGCAAGAATAAAATTTGCTATTTCCATTTTCCATAATATTTTACCTGGCAGTGCTGTACTTCATCAGCCAGGACATGGATAACTGATTGAGGCCCACCTTTCACACCAAACAGATCCAGTTCATCTAATGCTTCCAGGGCTGCCTGTGAGGAACAAGAAAGAAATGGACAAGTTTAGCATTAGAAAGATATATATTTCTTCTCCCTATATCCCAGTATCTTATCAACACACATGATGTCACTTTTGAATATGTCTGACAGAATATATAATACAAAAACATTATTTATTCCCAGGGCATTCTGAGTTTTTCTTTGTCTCCCATATTGTCTCAGAGAAAGTTAAAAAGGAGTCTGTAGCACTATCAAGTATCATACTTAACCATCATTGTACTCTCTCCTTCTATGAGTTCAACTTCTTTAGATTCCACATATAAATGAGATATTATGTTTTTTAAAATAGAATTTATTTATTTATTTCTTACTTTTCTAAATATATTTTTGATCATAAAAGTAAAACACACTCCTTATAGAATACTTTGAAAACACAGTAAAGTACAGAGAGGGCAAGAAAATCACCCAAAACAACCACTTTTAACATTTTTGACATGTTTTTTATTAGTTTTTTCTATGTCTATTTGTGTACAGTTGAGATCACATCTGGTATCCTACTTTTTACAATTAATAATATAGTGTAAGTATTTTTCCACATTACAAACACTATTTTGACATACTATTATCTCATATGGCTATAATAAAGTATATTTAGCCATTTACCAATTCTTGGAAATTTAGGTCGCCTTTAATTTTGTGCTATTAGAAATAGAACTTTGATAAACATCTCTTGCTAAATTATAAATTCCTTGAGGTCGGGGATTATGTCTTCACTAATATCTAGCACAAACCATGGCATACGGTAGGCTCTCAATAATGACTGTCAAGCTAATAAAATAACTCTTTGTATTCATTTTGAGTTATTTTGTAAGCATCAATTCCCTGAAGTAGAATCATTGGGTAAAAGAGTATGAATAATTTTTAAGACATAATGCTAAATTGCTTTTCTTGCAAGTTGTACCAACATAGCTATCACTAGCAGTATATGACAATACCTTCCTTAATGCAAACAATGTATTATCTTAAACATTTTTTCCTAATGTGATTAAAAAATGGTATATCTGTTGCATTCATATGCATTAAATTGTTAACAAGATTGAATATTATTTCTAGTATTTATTAGTTATCTGTAATTCCTCAATTAAAGGGCAGACTTGACCTAGTCTTGGGGGTAGAAGCCAGTTTTGAAAGTCTTCCCTGAAGAAATGACACCTAAACTGAGACCTATAGGGTAAGTAGAAGTTGGCCAGGCACAAAATACTCATTAATTACTGCCTTACTATTCTACTCCTTACCCTCACCAAACTCATGTCCTTCTCACATATAAATACATTCATTCTAACCCCATAGCCTCAAAGTCTTAATTCATTCCAGCACCAAGGATAAGACTCAAAAGTCCAAAATCTCATCCGTGAGTCTGAAATCAAAACAAGTTATCAACTTTCAAGATACAATGGTGGTACAGGCATAAGACAGACAGAGATATTCCCATTCTAAAAGAGAGAAACAGGCAAAAAGAAAGCAGTAACAGGCTTAAAGCAAGTCTTAAACCCAGCATAGCAGACATTAAATGTGAAAGCTGAAGAATAATCCCTTTTGACTCTGCGCGCAGGTTGGGATTGGGTCTCTAAGGCCTCAGGCAGCCCTGCCCCTGTGGCTTTGATGGGTACAGCACAGGTGGCTGCTTCTATGGGTTGCAGTCTGGTATCTGAAGCTTTCTCAGGCAGACCTTGCATGCTGCCAGTGACTCCACAGTTCTGGCATCCCAGTGGTGGTCCTGCCCTAGTGGGAACTCTCTGTGGAAGCTGCAACCCCATGTTTCTGCTTCAGTGTTGCTCTAGCGGGGGCTCTCTGTTGTGGTTCCACCCCTGTGACAAGTCTCTGCCTGGGCCCAGAAGCTGTTTTTCTTTTTTTTTGTTGTTGTTGTTGTTGTTGTTTTTAATTTTATTACTATTATACTTTAAGTTTTAGGGTACATGTGCACAACATGCAGGTTAGTTACATATGTATACATGTGCCATGTTGGTGTGCTGCACCCAGTAACTTGTCATTTAGCATTAGGTATATCTCCTAATGCTATCCCTCCCCCCTCCCCCCACCCCACAACAGGCCCCGGTGTATGATGTTCCCCTTCCTGTGTCCATGTGTTCTCATTGTTCAATTCCCACCTATGAGTGAGAATATGCGGTGTTTGGTTTTTTGTCTCTGTGATAGTTTGCTGAGAATGATGGTTTCCAGTTTCATCCATGTCCCTACAAAGGACATGAACTCATCATTTTTTATGGCTGCATAGTATTCCATGGTGTATATGTGCCACATTTTCTTAATCCAGACTATCATTGTTGGACATGTGGGTTGGTTCCAAGTCTTTGCTATTGTGAATAGTGCGGCTATAAACATACGGGTGCACGTGTCTTTATAGCAGCATGATTTATAATCCTTTGGGTATATACCCAGTAATGGGATGGCTGGGTCAAATGGTATTTCTAGTTCTAGATCCCTGAGGAATCGCCACACTGACTTCCACAATGGTTGAACTAGTTTACAGTCCCACCAACAGTGTAAAAGTGTTCCTATTTCTCCACATCCTCTCCAGCTCCTGTTGTTTCCTAACTTTTTAATGATCACCGTTCTAACTGGCGTGAGATGGTATCTCGTTGTGGTTTTGATTTGCATTTCTCTGATGGCCAGTGATGATGAGCATTTTTTCATGTTTTTTGGTGGCATAAATGTCTTCTTTTGAGAAGTGTCTGTTCATATCCTTTGCCCACTTTTTGATGGGGTTGTTTTTTTCTTGTAAATTTCTTTGAGTTCATTGTAGATTCTGGATATTAGCCCTTTGTCAGATGAGTAGGTTGCAAAAATTTTCTCCCATTCTATAGGTTGCCTGTTCACTCTGATGGTAGTTTCTTTTGCTGTACAGAAGCTCTTTAGTTTAATTAGATCCCATTTGTCAATTTTGGCTTTTGTTGCCATTGCTTTTGGTGTTTTAGACGTGAAGGATAGCTTACCAACCAAAAAAAGTCCAGGACCAGATGGATCCACAGCAGAATTCTACCAGAGGTACAAAGAGGAGCTGGTACCATTCCTTCTGAAACTATTCCAACCAATAGAAAAAGAGGGAATCCTCCCTAACTCATTTTATGAGGCCAGAATCATCCTGATACCAAAGCCTGGCAGAGACACAACCAAAAAAGAGAATTTTAGACCAATATCCCTGATGAACATCGATGCAAAAATCCTCAATAAAATACTGGTAAACCAAATCCAGCAGCACATCAAAAAGCTTATCCACCATGATCAAGTGGGCTTCATCCCTGGGATGCAAGGCTGGTTCAATATACGCAAATCAATAAACGCAATCCAGCATATAAACAGAACCAAAGACAAAAACCGCATGATTATCTCAATAGATGCAGAAAGGGCCTTTGACAAAATTCAACAACGCTTCATGCTAAAAACTCTCAATAAATTAGGTATCGATGGGACGTATCTCAAAATAATAAGAGCTATCTATGACAAACCCACAGCCAGTATCATACTGAATGGGCAAAAACAGGAAGCATTCCCTTTGAAAACTGGAACAAGACAGGGATGCCCTCTCTGACCACTCCTATTCAACATAGTGTTGGAAGTTCTGGCCAGGGCAATCAGGCAGGAGAAGGAAATAAAGGGTATTCAATTAGGAAAAGAGGAAGTCAAATTGTCCCTGTTTGCAGATGACATGATTGTATATCTAGAAAACCCCATTGTCTCAGCCCAAAATCTCCTCAAGCTGATAAGCAACTTCAGCAAAGTCTCAGGATAGAAAATCAATGTACAAAAATCACAAGCATTCTTATACACCAATAACAGACAAACAGAGAGCCAAATCATGAGTGAACTCCCATTCACAATTGCTTCAAAGAGAATAAAATACCTAGGAATCCAACTTACAAGGGATGTGAAGGACCTCTTCAAGGAGAACTACAAACCACTACTCAATGAAATAAAAGAGGACACAAACAAATGGAAGAACATTCCATGCTCATGGGTAGGAAGAATCAATATCGTGAAAATGGCCATACTGCCCAAAGTAATTTATAGATTCAATGCCATCCCCATCAAGCTACCAATGACTTTCTTCACAGAATTGGAAAAAACTACTTTAAAGTTCATACGGAACCAAAAAAGAGCCCGCGTCGCCAAGTCAATCCTAAGCCAAAAGAACAAAGCTGGAGGCATCACGCTACCTGACTTCAAACTATACTACAAGGCTACAGTAACCAAAACAGCATGGTACTGGTACCAAAACAGAGATATAGACCGATGGAACAGAACAGAGCCCTCAGAAATAATGCTGCATATCTACAACTATCTGATCTTTGACAAACCTGACAAAAACAAGCAATGGGGAAAGGATTCCCTATTTAATAAATGGTGCTGGGAAAACTGGCTAGCCATATGTAGAAAGCTGAAACTGGATCCCTTCCTTACACCTTATACAAAAATTAATTCAAAATGGATTAAAGACTTAAATGTTAGACCTAAAACCATAAAAACCCTAGAAGAAAACCTAGGCAATACCATTCAGAACAGAAGCTGTTTTATATATCCTTTGAGATCCAGGTGGAAACTGTCATGCTTCTGCAGCTCTTGCATTCTGTGGGCCTGCAGAATTAACACCACATGGATACCTTCAAGGTTTATCACTTGGACCTTTTGGAGTAGTGGCATGAGCTGAGTGAACACTGAAGCAGGGGTGCCGGGAGTACAGTTCCAAGGCAGTCCTGGGCACAGCCCATAAAGAACACCCCAGGCCTGTCCCCTGAAACTATTCTGCCCTCCTAGGCCTTTGGACCTGTGATGGAAAAGGCAGCATCTAAGATCTCTGAAATGCCTTGGGGTCTTTCCTCCATTGTCTTGAGGAATAGCACCTGGCTCCCGTTCATCATGCTGATAAAGTCCAATGTCAAGGGGCCCCATCTGGTGAGGGCTTCTGGCGGGTAGAAACTCTGCAGAGTCCCAAGGTGGAATGGGGTATCAGATGATGAGGGGGCCTGAGTGTGCTAGCTCAAGTGTCTCTTCCTTTTCTTATAAAGCCACCAGTCCCATTCCCATGATAACTCACTAATCCATTAATCCATGAATTGATTAATGCATTCATGATGGAAGAACCCTTATGATCCAGTCACGGCTTAAAGGCTCCACCTCTCAATACTGCTACATTGGTAATTAAGTTTCAATACGAATTTTGGTGAGGGGGGACCACAAACATTCAAGTCATAGCAATTACAAAGGGAAAATAGAAAATTTACAGTGGAGAAACCTGGCAGATACCACCTTAATGAAGTCATAAAAGATAACATCAACAGTAATGGGACAAATTCACATCATGTGCTTCCTGATGATAAACTAAGGACACAGCATCACCTCTGTGGTATTCTTGCCAAAAACACATAACCTGAACCTATATCGTGAGGAAATATCACACAAAATCAAATCGAGGAACATTCTGTAAAATAACTGGCCTATGCTCTTCAAAAATGCTAAGGTCATGAAAGACAAGTAAGGACTGAGGCACTGTTTCAGACGGAAGAAGCCTAAAGAGACATTACAATTAAATGTAATATGTTATCTTAGACTGGATCCTGGATCAAAAGGATTTTTTTTTTTTGCTATAAATCACATTATTGGGACAACTAAATAAATTTGAATGGGCTATATCAATTAGGTGGCAGTATAATGCCAGTGTTCATTTCCTGATTTTGATGCTTGTATCATGGTTATAAAAGAGTCCTTGAGGAAATTCACACTGAAATATTTAGGAGTAATGGGGCATCATGTCTGCAATGTACTCTCTACTGGTTCAGAAAAAAACAATTGTGTGTTTGTGTGTTTGTTTTGTTTAATCAGAGAAAAAGATAAAGCAAATATTAACAAGTAGGGAACTTGAGTGAAGGGTACTATATAGGAATTCTTTGTACAATTATTATAACTTTCCTCTAAGTCACAAATGATTACAAAATAAAAAGTAAAAAAGTTTAAATGGTAAAAAACTTTAAATCAAATATACAAAAATATTGATAATATCCAGGTAGTGAGAGTTTGAGAAAAGTGGCAAAAAAGCTCTATATGTAAATTTGTAATAATAAGTACCAGTGCAAAAAGAAACAAGTTGTAATAACATGTTCTCAATATTTGTTTCCAAAGGTATTTCTCTGTCAAACACTTTCATTCACTGAAAGAAACAGCATATGATTAAAAAAAAAAGAAAAGAAAAATGACATCTATGGTACATAATGACGTATATCTATCATATGAGGATGGGAAATGTAAACTAGTGGAAATATTTTTGAAGGGCAATTTATTTTTTTTTTCATTTGAAATTTTTTTTTATTATACTTTAAGTTTTAGGGTACATGTACACAACGTGCAGGTTTGTTACATATGTATACATGTGCCATATTGGTGTGCTGCACACATTAACTCGTCATTTAACATTAGGTATATCTCCTAATGCTATCCCTCCCCCCTCCCCCCACCCCACAACAGGCCCCGGTGTGTGATGTTCCCCCTTCCTGTGTCCATGTGTTCTCATTGTTCAATTCCCACCTATGAGTGAGAGCATGTGGTGTTTGGATTTTTGTCCTTGGGATAGTTTGCTGAGAATGATGGTTTCCAGCTTCATCCATGTCCCCACAAAGGACATGAACTCATCATTTTTTATGGCTGCATAGTATTCCATGGTGTATATGTGCCACATTTTCTTAAGCCAGTCTATCATTGTTGGACATGTGGGTTGGTTCCAAGTCTTTGCTATTGTGAATAGTGCCACAATAAACATATGTGTGCATGTGTCTTTATAGCAGCATGATTTATAATCCTTTGGGTATATACCCAGTAATGGGATGGCTGGGTCAAATGGTATTTCTAGTTCTAGATCCCTGAGGAATCGCCACACTGACTTCCACAATGGTTGAACTAGTTTACAGTCCCACCAACAGTGTAAAAGTGTTCCTATTTGTCCACATCCTCTCCAGCACCTGTTGTTTCCTGACTTTTTAATGATCGCCATTCTAACTGGTGTGAGATGGTATCTCACTATGGTTTTGATTTGCATTTCTCTGATGGCCAGTGATGATGAGCATTTTTTCATGTGTCTTTTGGATGCATAAATGTCTTCTTTTGAGAAGTGTCTGTTCATATCTGAAGGGCAATTTAAAAGTATACATCCCTTAACCTAAGGGTTCCACTTTGAGGAATTTTTCCTATAAAAATATTTGTGTAAATTTACCTGGATGTATGTACAAGGATCTTCACTAAAGCATTATCTAGAATGTTAAAAAATAAAGACAATTCTGTCAATGGAGCAATTATTAAATACTGTATAGCAGCTGAAAAGAATGAACTAAATTTGTCTGTGTGAAATGACATAGAAGGATGTTTGGTTATGTTGTTCAGTGCACTATGAGATTGTTAGGCTGGGTGCAGTGGCTCATGCCTGTAATCCCAGCACTTTGGGAGGCCAAGGCAGATGGATCACCTGAGGTCAGGAGTTCGAGACCAGCCTCGTCAACATGGCAAAACCCTGTCTCTACTAAAAAAAAAAAAAAAAATTAGCTGGGCATGGTGGCAGATGCCTGTAGTCCCAGCTACTCGGGAGGCTGAAGCAGGAGAATCTCTTGAACCCAGGAGGTGGAGGTTGCAGTGAGCCAAGATCGTGCCACTGCACTCCAGCCTGGGCAGCAGGGTGAGACTCCGTCTCAAAAAATAATAATAATAATAATAAATAAATAAATAAATAAATAAAATAAAAATAAATAAAATAAAAAAATGGAATAAAATTCTATTGTGACTCCCTTTGTCCTCTCTGTTCCATGCAATATTTTTTACTTTGAATTCTACTTCACTTGACATTCACAGTCACCCTAGCTCATTTTATGCTTGTCAGACTGTATTTTGCTCATCCTTCTGTTTTTAACCTTTCTGTATCATTTTGTTATATTAGAGCTCTTATAGACAGCATATATTGGATTTCCTTTTATTTTTTAAAATCAATCTATATCTTTGCATATTAGTAGGACAGACTAAATCATGCATATTTCTCATAATGGATATGTTTGATCTTATTCCTGCTATCTTATTGTATGTCTTCTTGCTGTTTCCAGAGAAGACAATAGTGGGTAGGATGAAAAAGTAGAGCCAAGTTGAATAGTAATGCTGCTGCTGCTAATGATGATGATGATGATGATGATTTGGGGGATGGAGGAAAATAAAGAGGATAGAGGATTGAAAGATGATTCCTTGATATAAAGCTTGGTCAACTGGTAAACGAAAGGAATAAAAGCCTTCTTTTGCTTGTTTTTGTAATGGTAGAGATGATAAGTTTAGTTTAAGTCCTTTCAAGTCCTTATGGCATATAATATAAGTAGAGACATGCCACAAAAGCAGTTGGATATCAAATCTGCAGCTTATGAAAGTTTTCATCTACATATCCATGGTTCTACAGGAGAATCTGAATGTTGCCTGTGGTTTAAAATAATAATTAATTTGATTATGGTCCACAGTCACATTAAGTTTTATCTGTGACAAAGGGATACCAGACTTCCTCATCCCATACTTAGTACAAACAGGAAAGGAAAATTACCTTTGCCATTCCAACTGAACTGGCATTCAACTCTGAGATCCCTTGGTTGGTCTTGTCTCCACGTTCCCATATCCCGAAGTCCTGGCATAAAATAACCAATATACAATTAGCAAGTCATAACTACTAAATACTTCCTAGATGCAGGAAGTGTTTACCCTTGAATAAAAGACACTAGGAGTAACTAATTTGCCATATATATATATATATACCCACAATGCTTATTAAGGAGATGCTAATGTGTGGGGTGGCCCCTGCAGCTACTTTGCCAATAGCTTTAAATTCTACTGGGGCCTCCAAGCCATTGGAAGACTCCTCAACAGTTAATCAGGAGGGCTAAGAACTATAACTCTGTCTATCTGGAGAGGTGTTTCTCAAAATTTTTCATTAAAGCAAATACCCAGTAGATCTGCAAGATGGAGCCTAAATAGCAGCCCAATATTTTATTGTAAACATTCATTCTAATTTTACTCTCTATTGGTACTGACAACGTACCATGCACTAATTTACGCATTTTACATTATCTTTCTTAATCCTTACATTTTATAGATGATGAAACTGATGATGCAAAGAGAAGTTAAGTGACTCACTCAAAGTCACACAGTTAATAAGTGACAGAGCCAGGATTAGAATCCAAGGAATCTCACTCCAAAGCCTACCCTCTTAGCCAGAGCTCTATAAATCCCCTGAATCATATAGCCTTTAAAATTACTTTTAAAAACTTTTTATTTTGGAATAACTTTAGACTTATACAAAAGTTGCAAAAACACTACAAGGAGTTCCCATATGCCTTTCACTTAGCTTCCCCTGATGTTAACGTCTAACATAACCACAGTGTAATAGTTAAAGCTAAGAAATTAAAATTGGCACAATACTATTAACCAAACTATGGACTTTATTTGGATTTTACCACTTTTTCCACCAATGGCCTTTTTACATTCCAGGATCCAATCCAGAATTTCATGCTGCATTTGTCATGTTTCTTTAAGTCTCTTCTAATCAGTGACAGTTCCTCAAGTCTTGTCTTTTGTGACCTTGACACTCTTTGAAGATTAGTGATCAGGTATTTAGTAGATTTTCCTCAATTTGGGTTTGCTTAATGTTTTCTCATTAGACTAGACTGAGATTATGCATTTTAGGCAAGAATATGTATTACAGACATTATGCTGTGTCCTTCTCAGTGCATCATAGCAGGGATATACAATGCTGATACGTCTTATTACTGGTGATATTAACCCTCATCACTTGGTTAACGTGATGTCTGCTGGGTTTCTCAATTCCACTGTTACTATTTTTTTGTTTGTAATTAATAAATATCTTGAGAGAGATACTTTAGGAATATGCAAATACCTTGTTTCTCTCAAACATTAACCCACTAATTCAGCAACCACTGATGGATCTTGCCAGAAACAATTATTACAGTGGTGCTTTAATGGTGATTTTCCAGTTCTCTTCATTACTCCTACAGCCACTAGTTGCAACTCTTCTCTAAGGAAGAGCTGTCCTTTCTCTCCCATTTATTTATTTATTTATTCAGTTATTTATATTACTATGAACTTACAGATATTTAGGTTTTTCTCTGGCTTATAATAAAACACTATCACCATTTATTTTGTTGTTCAAACTGTTCCAGCTTTGGCCATTGGGTATTCTTTCAGGTTGGCTCCTGTGACCTTTTGACATGCCTATTCCTTTTTGAGCATGGCTGAACATGGTAGGTCCTGCCTGCAATCCCAGCAATTTAGGAGGCTGAGGTGGGAGGATCACTTGAGCCCAGGAGTTCGAGACCAGCCTGGGCAACACAGTGAGACCCGGTTTCTACAATTTTTTTTAATTAGTCAGGCATGATGGTGCTTCTATAGTTCCAACTACTAGGGAGGATGAAGTGGCAAGATAGCTTGAGTCCAGGAGGTTGAAGCTGAAGTAAGCCATGATTGCGCCACTGAATCCTAGTGTGGGTGACAAAGAGAGGCCCTGTCTCAAAACAAAACATAACAAAATAAAACACTCCCTTTTTGAACGTTTCTTCACTTTTTGGCACTGTAAGATGCTCCAATCTTATCTCATATTTTCCCCGCCATAGCCCTGGAATCAACCACTTTCATAAGAAGTCCTGGTTTACTTGATCAGAAAATGAGAGTCAGAATCCAAGACCTGGGCACTGGGTACACTCATTGTCACTGAGGTGTCATTGCTTCTAGGCCCTCTCATTAAATGGAACTTGGAAACAGACATGTGCAAATGTGTATGTGCATACACACAAACACACACCCTCCCACACACATCTGTATCTCTGTATCTACCTTTAATTACTTTTCATGCCAAATCTCTGAGTTAAAGTGAAGTTTCAGGAAGGTAAGCCATGTTTAACCCATGACTGGCCTTATCTGTCCCCCAATCCAGCTCCATTCTAGTTTGTGCAGCAAAGGTTAGAGTATGAGAATACAGAAATATCAATAATTCTACTGTTATAATCATTGGATATAATGGAGAGGCCAAAGAACCCTAACTTCCGCACTGAACCACAGCAGGCCTGTGGTGTCAGAAGCAAAGCCATCAGTCAACAAATAATGTCTGCTTGCATAAAATTATCTATGTTAGGTTTGTGCTTCTGGTGAATATGAAGTCACAGGTTCCAGATTTACCTTCCCACCTGCAACAACTAAAAAACTATTTATAACATAATGGTTTTCAATACAATGAACACTACACAATGAAGGACAGTGATTTCTGAGAAAGGGCAGCAAATAGGATGAGTCCTATGACTGTCCCAGCTTACTGTTGTAAGAGTTTGCAGGCCACTATACAGGAAGGAGAAAACTAAACAGAGCCTGGCAGACTCCCTGAGTTGAGGAAATGGCGCTAAGTACAGATACACCAAGGTAACCATAATTTGCAGGACAGACTAACGGAGAAGAGAAAGCTACACAGAAAACCACAGAAATCTGCAGAGGGTCCCCCTCAAATATTCAGCAGAATAATGAAGAATGCATGTAAGTGAGAAAACTACTTGAGGCTAGGGAAAGAACCACCCAAAGAATTAAAGGGAAAAAATACCTAGTGCTCACACAGGACAAGAAATAGTGCCTGTTTCAACTAGCCAGACTAGAAAACTTCATAATTCAGGGGGCATGGGGTAGAGTATTCAGAAGTGTCTTACCTATGTAGTGGAGAATAACTAGCCCCAGACTAGACATGACTCTGGTCCCACAAAACACATTTTAAAAGTAATAATGGATTAAACTGTTTTCAACTAAATTAACTAGGTCCCTGAACAAAGCTCGGGAATATTTACAGGAATACAACAATATCTAGGATGCAACATGATAAGATTCATGATGTCTTTCATCCAGTAAAAAATTACTAGGCATGCCAAGAAGCAGGAAAATATAGCCCATAATGAGACAAATCAATCAACTGAAACCAACCTGGAACTGACACAGATGTTAGAATACTCAGACAAGGACATTAAAGCATGTATTATAACTATATTCCATACATTCAGAAAGCTTAGTAGATACATGGAATATAGAAAAATAGACTCAAATTCAACTTTTAGCGATAAAACTGTATCTGACCTGAAAAATACATTGGGTGGGATTAGTGACAAATTAGACATTGTAAATAAAAAGATTAGTGAAGTCGAAGGCATAGTAATAGAAGCTATCCAAAATGAAACACAGAGGGAAAAAAGAATTAAAAAACTAAACAGTACATCTGTGAGCTGTGGGACAACATCACACAGCCTAATACACATGTTATTGAATACTCGAAGGAAGGGGGGGAACATAAAAACAATATGAAGAAATAATTGCTGAAAACTTTTGATGAAAGCGATATATGCACAGATCTATGGAGCTAAATGGACCCTAAATAGAAGAAACGTGAAGAAAATGACACCAAGGGATATCATAATCGAAGTGTTTAAAGTCAGTAATAAAAGAAACTTTTTTTTTTTTTTTGAGACAGAGTCTCACTCTTGTTGCCCAGGCTGGAGTGCAATGGTGTGATCATCTTGGCTCACCGCAACCTCTACCTCCGGGGTTCAAGCGATTCTCCTGCCTCAGCCTCCCAAGTACCTGGGATTACAGGCACACGCCACCACGCCCAGCTAATTTTGTATTTTTAGTAGAGACAAGGTTTCTCCATGTTGGTCAGGCTGGTCTCAAACTCCCAACCTCAGGTGATCCACCCACCTCGGCCTCCCAAAGTGCTGGGATTACAGGCATGAGCCACCATGCCCAGCCATAAAAGAAACTTTTAAAAGCAGACAGCAGAAAAAGGCACATTCATGTAGCGGAACAAACATAAGGTTGACAACAAATTTGTCATCAGAAACAATACAGGCAAGAAGAAAGTGGAACAACATTTTTATAGTACTGAAAGACAAAAACATCTGCCATCATAAAATTCTAAACCTAGTGAAAATATTTTTCAAATATGAAGATGAAATAAAGATTTCTTCAGGCATACAAAAGCTGAAATAGTTCATCACTAGAAGAATGAAGAAATGTTAAAGAAAGTTTTTCGAGGGAGCCCGTCTGGCCATGGTGGCCGCGGCTGGTGGTTGGCGCGCTGCGCTGCGGCCCGGGGCAGTGCGGAGCCAGGACAGTCGCGGCGCTGACGCCCGCGGGCCCCAGCTGCAGATATGAAGCGGAGCCGCTGCCGCGACCGACCGCAGCCGCCGCCGCCCGACCGCCGGGAGGATGGAGTTCAGCGGGCAGCGGAGCTGTCTCAGTCTTTGCCGCCGCGCCGGCGAGCGCCGCCCGGGAGGCAGCGGCTGGAGGAGCGGACGGGCCCCGCGGGGCCCGAGGGCAAGGAGCAGCCGCCTGCCTTGGCCTCCCAAAGTGCCGAGATTGCAGCCTCTGCCCGGCTGCCACCCCGTCTGGGAAGTGAGGAGTGTCTCTGCCTGGCCGCCCATCGTCTGGGATGTGAGGAGCCCCTCTGCCTGGCTGCCCAGTCTGGAAAGTGAGGAGCGTCTCCGCCCGGCCGCCATCCCATCTAGGAAGTGAGGAGCGCCTCTTCCCAGCCGCCATCACATCTAGGAAGTGAGGAGCGTCTCTGCCCGGCCGCCCATCGTCTGAGATGTGGGGAGCGCCTCTGCCCCGCCGCCCCATCTGGGATGTGAGGAGCGCCTCTGCCCGGCCAAGACCCCGTCTGGGAGGTGAGGAGCGTCTCTGCCTGGCCGCCCCGTCTGAGAAGTGAGGAGACCCTCTGCCTGGCAACCACCCCGTCTGAGAAGTGAGGAGCCCCTCCGCCCGGCAGCTGCCCCGTCTGAGAAGTGAGGAGCCTCTCCGCCCGGCAGCCACCCCATCTGGGAGGGAGGTGGGGGGGGGTCAGCCCCCCGCCCGGCCAGCCGCCCCATCCGGGAGGGAGGTGGGGGGGTCAGCCCCCCCGCCCGGCCAGCCGTGCCATCCGGGAGGGAGGTGGGGGGGTCAGCCCCCCGCCTGGCCAGCCGTGCCATCCGGGAGGGAGGTGGGGGGGTCAGCCCCCCGCCCGGCCAGCCGCCCCGTCCGGGAGGTGAGGGGCGCCTCTGCCCGGCCGCCCCTACTGGGAAGTGAGGAGCCCCTCAGCCCGGCCAGCCACCCCGTCCGGGAGGGAGATGGGGGGGTCAGCCCCCCACCTGGCCAGCCGCCCCGTCCGGGAGGGAGGTGGGGGGGTCAGCCCTCCGCCCGGCCAGCCGCCCCATCTGGGAGGTGAGGGGCGCCTCTGCCCAGCCGCCCCTACTGGGAAGTGAGGAGCCCCTCTGCCCGGCCAGCCGCCCCGTCCGGGAGGGAGGTGGGGGGGTCAGCCCCCCGCCCGGCCAGCTGCCCTGTCCGGGAGGGAGGTTGAGGGGGGGGTCGGCCCCCCTGCCCGGCCAGCCACCCCGTCCGGGAGGTGAGGGGCGCCTCTGCCCGGCCGCCCCTACTGGGAAGTGAGGAGCCCCTCTGCCCGGCCAGCCGCCCCGTCCGGGAGGGAGGTGGGGGGGTCGGCCCCCCGCCCGGCCAGCCGCCCCGTCCGGGAGGGAGGTGGGGGGGGTCGGCCCCCCGCCCGGCCAGCCGCCCCGTCCGGGAGGTGAGGGGCGCCTCTGCCCGGCCGCCCCTACTGGGAAGTGAGGAGCCCCTCTGCCCGGCCAGCCGCCCCGTCCGGGAGGGAGGTGGGGGGGTCAGCCGCCCCGTCCGGGAGGGAGGTTGGGGGGTCAGCCCCCCGCCCGGCCAGCCGCCCCGTCCGGGAGGGAGGTGGGGGGGGTCAGCCCCCCTGCCCAGCCAGCCGCCCCGTCCGGGAGGGAGGTGGGGGGGTCAGCCCCCTGCCCGGCCAGCCGCCCCGTCCGGGAGGTGAGGGGCGCCTCTGCCCGGCCACCACCCCGTCTGGGAGGTGTGCCCAACAGCTCATTGAGAACGGGCCAGGATGACAATGGCGGCTTTGTGGAATAGAAAGGCGGGAAAGGTGGGGAAAAGATTGAGAAATCGGATGGTTGCCGTGTCTGTGTGGAGAGAAGTAGACATGGGAGACTTTTCATTTTGTTCTGCACTAAGAAAAATTCCTCTGCCTTGGGATCCTGTTGATCTGTGACCTTACCCCCAACCCTGTGCTCTCTGAAACATGTGCTGTGTCCACTCAGGGTTAAATGGATTAAGGGCGGTGCAAGATGTGCTTTGTTAAACAGATGCTTGAAGGCAGCATGCTCGTTAAGAGTCATCACCAATCCCTAATCTCAAGTAATCAGGGACACAAACACTGCGGAAGGCCGCAGGGTCCTCTGCCTAGGAAAACCAGAGACCTTTGTTCACTTGTTTATCTGCTGACCTTCCCTCCACTATTGTCCCATGACCCTGCCAAATCCCCCTCTGTGAGAAACACCCAAGAATTATCAATAAAAAAATAAATTAAAAAAAAAAAAAAAAAAAAAAAAGAAAGTTTTTCAGGCAGAAGGAAATAATGCCAGTTGGAAATCTGAATCTACATGAAGAAAAGAAGTACACCAGAAATGGTAAATGAATTTCTAATTTTTATTTAAATATACTTAAAAGATAACTGTCCAATTAACAGAAATAAAAAATAATGTGTTGGTCACAAAGGAGGAGGGTGGTTAGTAAGAAGTGGAAAACAGGCCAGGTGTGGTGGCTCATGCCTGTAATCCTAGCACTTTGAGAGGCCTAGGAGGGTGAATTGCTTGAGTCAAGGAGTTTGAGACCTGCCTGGGCAACATAGCGAAACCTCGTCTCTATAAAAAATACAAAAATTAGCTGGATGTGGTGGCGTATACCTTTAGTCACAACTACTCAGGAGGCTGAGGTGGGAGGATCACCTGAGCCTGGGAGTTTGAGGCTGCAGTGAGCCTCGATCATGCCACTGCACTTCAGCCTGGGCAACAGACAAAAACAGAAACAGAAATGGAAACACAGATTCAACAAATAATAACAACTTTTGTATTTTTATGGAGGTATAAATGATATACAAAGAACTGCACATATTTAAAGTGTACAACTTGATTAATTTTGATATGTTTTCATGCGTGAAACTATCATCATAATAATGAATATTTGTAAAATTTCCAAAAGTCTCCTCATACTCTTCTGTAATTTATCTCTCCCTCTGCTCCTCTCCTGAGGCAATCATGGATCTGCTTTCTGTCACTATAGATTTCTAGAATTTTATGTGAGTAGAATCATACAGTCTGTACATTTTTTGTCTAACTTCTTTCACTAAGCATAATGCCTTTGAGATTCACCCACTGATGCATGAATCAACAGTTCATTCCTTTTTATTGATGAGTAGTATTCTATTTTATGGATATACCACAGTTTGTTTATCCATTTACTTGTTGATAGATATTTGGGTTATTTCCAGTTTTGGAGATTATGAATAAAGCTTCAATGAACAACAAAGAAAAGTTGTCTATGTTAGACTGAAGAAGAAAAAAATCGCATTCCTGTATAGTGTCTAACTTAACATTTTATACAGAGAAGATGTTAAATATATTATGATTTAACAGAAACCTACCTCATATGGTAGTTGTAAGGAAAAATAACTTATTTGCATTGTAAGCACTGAATCAACACCTACAGATAATATTACAAACATGACTAAATTTTATTTCTAAGTAGCTAACTGACCCACAATACAACCTAGCTATCTTGCTCTTAAGAACTTAAATCATTAAAATAAGACCACAATTTAGCCCAGATTGCCAAATACATACCATGAGATATCACAGAGTTTGAAAGGAATGAAAGTATAGCATCCTGACCCTCTTGTCTCTGTAACCCCCTTGAAGAGAAGACACAGGATGACAGGTCTTAATAAAGAAAGAGGCTAAAGACAATTTCTGCCAGAAGCCTTTTAGGTTGGTTCACTATGAGCAGTAGCATTAAGAAAACAACTGAGTTGCCCAGTATTTAGAAAACAAAAACATCATATGTCTAAAATCCATTCTAAAATCAGTACTTACAGCAGTTTTATATGCAGCTTCAATGTAAAACACAAGGTTCTGTATGAAATTGACTTCATCTAGGCTGTGGATGATATGGAGTCCTGAGGAAAGAGGGAATAAAGATACAGAACTGGTCAATTATCACTATAAGCTTTATAGGCAGCCATAGTGACTAACTGATCTCACTAATCCCAAGCAATCCTACTCCTGCCTAGGAACAATGGAAGGCACTTTGATCTTAAACTATAAAAACAAGACCACAAACAAGTCCTAGGCTAGTCTCCAACTAAGCGAGATATAAGCATATTTCAACATGGAAGAATTTTAACTGTTATTTACAGATTTTACCAAAAAGTAAAATCTGATTCTATAGGTAACTAATTTATAATATGCTTAAATGTACAAACCTAAGCACTTGGGGAATAAAAGACAAATATTTCAAAACTGAGCTGGAAGGGGTCTAAATACTAAGCAAGAAATAGATAAAATTATGATTTTAAAAAGGACTTAAATTGCATTTTTAAGTAAAAATGATAATTATTCTAAATGTAAGCCATACAAAGATATTATAACTTACACACAGAATGTTTTACATGAATTATCCATTTAATTTTTCAACAACCACCCTAAGAGGTAAGCACCTCTATTTTCTCCATGAGGCTTAAAGGAGTTAAAAATTTTCCTAAGGTCATGTAACTAACAAATAGTGGAACCGGGACTCAATTGACTGTTGATTTCAGTTTCATTTCAGAGAATGCTGAATGCAGTTTCATTAGGAGGTAAGATGCTATACTGCCTCCTAATATGTATAATATGATCCATTTTTGCTTAAAAACTCCTCTCTTTATATCTCCCCCCTCAAACATACAGAACTACACAAATATATAACCAGGAGGATGTTAGTTAATAGCAGTTATCTTTGGTGGTGAGATTCAAGGTAGTTTTATTTTATCTTTTCTGGACATTTTTGCAATTTTACAGTATTCTACAAGAAACAGGTGCTACTTTTGTAATTTTTTGTAATTTAAAGTTATATTAAAAAGCAAAATCATAATAAATCAGAAAACTGCAGGATATATTTCATAAAATTTTATACAAAATTACTTAATCCTGAGCACTAAAAGTTTTTATACACCTAAAATTTACTAAGCAGTTAACTTTTAATATACCTCTTTTATAACAATAAATATTACTGTTTACATATGAAAGACTTGGTTTGGACTATTTGATTCTAAACTAAGAAATCATTTCAGAATTTAAAAATCAGGAAGCTAATTTTTCCTTTCTGGTCTATAACAAACAGGAGGAAAAAGTGAACATCAGGTTAGCTATAGAGACTAAACTTTTAAGCTTCTCATATTTACTTGGTGGAGGCTATTCTATTTAAACAAAACATTTTTTGTTCGCATTTGTCACAAAAACAGATGTGTTGGTTTAATGGAAATGAGTACATGTGCCAGCTATGTAGTTGTGTTAGCCAGAAAAAGCCAAGAAATTCTAGTTTGCTGAACAGTGGGCATATCTAGAGCAATTAGATCTAGATGAAAAAAACTTCCTTAAAAGGACTTGAGAATGGAAAAAGTCCTCTCACATTCTTAGAAGCATGATGTAAAATGATTGTCAAATGTTTCTTAATGTCAGCTTTCAAATGAACTCCACTGTGAATATCCTGAACACCCATTCCAGTTCAGAAAGAATTCTAAGACCTAACACGCCCTTCGTAAGTCAGCACTTAGTAATACTCTTTCATGAAAAAAATCAAACTGTGCCGAAGGATAACCAGTGAGTCTTCCTCCTACCCAGAACCACATCACCTTCACCACTGCCAAATCTCTCTGGAGAAACCTGTTTTACCAGTTTCTTCTGTATCCTTTCAGAGATATATTATGCATGTACAAACATTACACAAAGGGTAGTACTGTATATTATACTGCATTTTGCTTTTTCATATATAAGTAACTTGGAGATAATTTCAAATACATCTGTCTCATTTTTTTAATAGCTACAGAACATTTCACTGAACGGTTACTCATGTAACCAGTTCCCTACGGAAGGACATTTCGGTTGTATCAAATCTTTCCTCACTACAATGTTGCAATGAGTATTTGTGGAAATATATCTTTATGCACATGTGCCAGTATATCAGGGCAGATTCTTGGAATTGCTGACCCAAAGATGTATGCATATTATTTTCCAATGTTTTATTATGAACACTTTCAAACAAACAGAAAAATATGGAACAATTTTACAGAGGACCCCTGTATACTCACCATCTGAACTCCACCATTAACATTTTAGTATACTTTGTTCATCATATATCTATCCATCTTCCTTTTTGATACATTTCAGAGTAAGCTGCAGATATCCGTACACTTCCCTCTAAATACTTCATCATGTATATTAAATTTTGATAATCATCTCCAAGTTATTCTTCAAAGAAATTCTACAGTTTATATACCAACACTGACTGCCTGTTTCCCTACATCTTTGCAAACACAGGCTTTAAAAAAAATTTTTAATCTTTGTCTCACTTTAGTGGATAAGAAATAGAAGCCCCTTGTAGTTTAATTTCCAGTTTTTTATTATGAGTAAGGTTGTAAATCTTTTGATATATTTATAAGCTATCTGTGTTTCATATTTCTTTTCCTATGAACTGTTTGGTCATGTCCTTCAGATTTTTACTGAATTGCTGGTCTTCCTGGTACATACATATACCAGTCTTTGCATATGTATGGTCTTAGTATATATATATAAAATGGCATATGTATGGTCTTGGTATATACATATATATACATGCACCATCTGTATAATATTAAGCCTCATTCTCTGTCATTTTTAAAAACTTTATTGAGATACATAAAAAGTATGCATTGTAAGTATATATTGCCAGAAAGACTGGCAATTCAATAGAAATCAGAGGCTGAGAGAAGGCAGAAGTATGAAACTGGCCTTATTCATCTCTTAGATTTGTATCACAGCCATACCATACAAATGCCACATATTTCTACCACTTATGTCCTTTTGCTCATAATCTCCATTCATATGGCCTTCCCTTCCTTCCCATATCTTGAAATCTCACTGTTCTTTCAAGTTCCAGCTCAAATGCTATCTCCTCTGTGATGCTGTCATTGCTTCCCCTTTTCTGTGGTTCACACAAACATACTGTGTGTGTGTGTTTGTGTGTGTGTATTTGCTCAGCATTAAACTTTAAAAAAAACTTCTTTCTCTATTATTGATATTTTAACAAATATTAAGGAAATTAGTCCGTTGCACATCATATGTGTTGCAAGTATTTTTGCTAGTTTGTTGGAATTTGGACTTGTTTATAGTATTTTTTTATTATCAGAAACTTTTTTTTTTTTTTTGAGACAGAGTCTCGCTCTGTTGCCCAGGCTGGAGTGCTGTGGCATGATCCTGGCTTACTGCAACCTCTGCCTCCTAGGTTCATGTGATTCTCCTGTCTCAGCCTCCTGAGTAGCTGGGATTACAGGCACCCACCACCATGCCCGGCTAATTTTTTTGTATGTTTAGTAAAGAAGGGGTTTCACCATGTTGGCCAGGCTGGTCTTGAACTCCTGACCTTGTGATCCGCCCGCCTAAGCCTCCCAAAGTGCTGGGATTACAGGTTTGAGCCACTGCGCCTGGCCACATCTAAATCTTTGATCTATTAACATATATTTTAAATCATGGAACTGTGTAACTTTATAATTAAAAAGAACTATATGATTGGTATTATCAGATTGCAAACTCCTCCTGATCCATGGCTCTGTCAAAATAGCATCCATAGCACAGGGAAGCTGCAGAAGCAAAGTGGCAAAGTGTGTTTTTTCTTGCAATCGTAATGACACTAACTTCTTGGAAAGACGCCGGTAAAGAGAAGAGATGATAGTGACATGGGACATCAGCTTCATAGCTTTATCTTGTCATCTTTGTGTGACAATGCGATTGAGCAGAGACAGAGAAGGCAAAAGTATGAAACTGGTATTATTCATCTGTTAGACTTGCATCACAGCTATATCATACAAATGCCAGACATTTCTACCATTTATGTCCTTTTGCTTGTTATATTCTCCATTTAAATGGCCTTCTTCTCTCCAGATCTTGAAATCCTACTGTTCTTTCAAGGCTCAGCTCAAATGCTATGTCCTCTGTGATGCTATCATTGATTCTCCTATTTTGTGATTCACAGAATTTTGTTTTTCTTACTTTTATGAACTTATTTTTTTACTCTGTATTATAGACAAATGTGTACTTGAATTTTAAGGAAAGAACTACATCTTATTTATATCTGCATCTTCTAAAATTATCTCACATAGCCACTAAAAGTATCTCACGTAGTATTCTGAACGGTATTAAATAGCATTGAACAGTAGATGTTTGAAAATTTATTAAGTGATTTTAAACACCTCTGTTAACCACAGGAAAGGGATCAGCCTCTTGAGGAAAGGTCATAAATGGAGGACCTCTGGATCCTGTGCCTCCTGTAGAGCCCAGACACTGCTTGTCGAACAAAGAATGCAGAGGTGAGTACACATAAAATGAGATAGGGCTGGATTAGACCAAAGGTGACTATATAAAGAATACTAAGGCATACAGGGCTCCAGAAATGGAGCTAAATCAGTGGTCTATTGCACTTATATTCTGCACTCATCTGTATAACATTAAGCCTCTTTCTCTCATTTTTAGAAACAACCTTATTGAGATATGTAAAAAGCATGCATAAGAAGTATATATTCAACGGTTTTTAGTGTATGCACAGTTATGCGACCATCACCACAATCAATTTTAGAACACTGTCATCACTCCAAAAGAAACCTTGTGCCCCTTAGCAGTCACTCCCCACTTCCCTTCTACAGTTGCCCCCCAGCCTAAGTAATCACTAATCTACTTCTTGTCTCTATGATTTGCCTTAGTTGACATTCATATAAATGGAATCATACAATATGTGGCCTTTTATGTCTGGGTTCTTTCACTTAGCATAATATTTTCAAGGTTTGTCAGTGTTGTGGCATGTACCTGTAATTCATTTTTTATTGCCCAAAATATTCCATCTTGAGAGGTAGCAGTAACATGAAAAAAAATTTAAAAATTCCATTGTGCAGATGTATCATATTTTATTTATCCAATTATCAGTTGATAAACATTTGGGTTATTTTCATTTATGGCTATCATAAGTAATGCTGCTATAAACATTAATGTATAAGCTTTTGAGTGAACATATGTTTTCATTTCTCTTGGGTATATATATACTTAGGAGTGAAACTGCTAGATCATATGGTATCTCTTTTTTAAGCCTTTTAAGGAACTACCAGACTCTTTTCCAAGGCAGCCGCACCATTTTACATTTCCACCAGCAGTGTATGAGGGTTCCAATTTCTCCACATCCTCAGCAACACTTATTATCTGTCTTTTTGATTACAGTCATCCTGATGGGTGTGAAGTGGTATCTCATTGTGGTTTGGACCTATATTTCTTTCAAAATTAATGATGTTCACTATCCTTTCATGTACTTATTGGTTATCTGAACATCTTTTTGGAGGAATGTCAATTCTGATTCTTTGACCATTTTTAATTAGGTTATTTATCTTTTATATTAAGTTCTGCGAGTTCTTTTAGATACAGGTACCTTATCAGATATATGACTTGTGAATATTTTCTTCTATACTATTGGTTGCTTTTTTAGTTTCTTGATGGGGTCCTTTGAAGCACAAAAGTTCTTAATTTTGATACATTCCAGTTTATCTATTTTTTCTTCAGTAGCTTATGCTTTTCGTGCCATATCTAAGAGGCTTTTTCTTAACCCAAGGCCAGAAACATTTACTCCTGTATTTTTCTCTAAGTGTTTGTTATGTATTGAATTGTGTCCTCCCCCCAAAAATTTGTATATTGAAGCCCTAACCCCTAATATGACTATATTTGGAGATAGGGACTTCAAGGAGATAATTAAGAAGATAAATGAGGTCATGAGGGTGGCCCTAACCCAATAGGGCTGCCGTCCTTATAAGAAGAGGAAGACACACCAGGAGTGCACACACATAGAGAAAAGGCCATGTAAAAACACAGAAAGGGTAGCCATCTGAAAGGCAAGATGAGGCCTCACCAGAAACCAACCCTACCAGCCTTGCTCTTGGACTTCCAGCCTCCAGAACTGTGAGAAAATAAATTTCTGTTGTTTAAGCCACCTATTCTGTGGTATTCTGTTGTGGCAGACTAATATAGTGTTTTAGTTTTCCTTCTTACATTTAGGCCTACAATTTATTTTGAGTTAATTTTTTAAATTTAATTTCTTTTTTTGTTTGTTTGTTTGAGATGGAGTCTCATTCTGTTGCCCAGGCTGGAGTGCAATGGCGTGATCTTGGCTCACTGCAACCTCCGCCTCCCGGGTTCAAGCGATTCTCCTGCCTCAGCCTCCTGAGTAGTTGGGATTACAGGAACACACCACCACGCCTGGCTAATTTTTGTATTCTTAGTAGAGACGGGGTTTTGCCATGTTGGCCAGGCTGGTCTCAAACTCCTGACTTTAAGTGATCCTGCCACCTCAGCCTCCCAAAGTGCTGGGATTACAGGCATGGGCCACCGCGCCCAGCCTTGAGTTAATTTTTATATATGGTGTGAGGAAGAAGTCCAATTTCATTCTTTTGCATGTGGACATACAGTTGTCCCAGCACCATTTGTTGAAGAGACTATTCTTTCCCCATTGAATTATCTTGGCACCTTTGTCAAAAATCAACTGAGCATAAAGTGATGGCTTATTTCTAACCTCTCAATTCTATTCCAAAGAGCTACATGTCTATAGTTATGCCAGTACCTGTACTGTTTTAATTAATATAGCTTTGTAGTAAGTTTTGAAATTAGGAAATTTGAGTCCTTCAACTTTCTTCTTTTTTAAGATTGTTTTAGCTCTTCTGGGTCCTTTAAATTTCCATATAAATTTTAGAAACAGCCTGTCAATTTCTGCAAAGTCAGTTGATGTTAAATCTGTAGATTAATTTGGGAAATGTTGCCACATTAACAATAAATCTTCTGATCCTTGAATATAGATGTCTTTCCATTTATTTAGATATTTACTTTCTTTCAACAATGTTTCATATCTTTCAAAGTACAAATTTTATATTTCTTCTGTTAAATTTATTCCTCATTATTTCATTTTTGATCCTATTGTAATAGAAATTATTTTTAAATTTCATTTTGGTTATTCACTGCTACTGTTTAGAAACATAACTCATTTTTGCATTTTTATCTTGTACGTTGTTACCTTGCTGAACTTTGTTTATTCTAGAGTTTTAATGAATTCCTTAGGATTTCTCTATGTAAGAACGTATCATCTGCAAATGGAGATAATTATACTCCTTCATTTATTTGATGCCTTTTATTTCTTTTTATTGGCTATTTGCCCTTGCTAAACTGCCAGTACAATTTTAGATACTGGTGGCAAGAGTTGATGTCCTTGTCTTATTCTGATCTATGGGGAAAAGCATTCATTCTTTCACCATCAAATGTCATGTTAGCTGTGGATTTTCAAAGATGCCATTTATCAGGTTGAAAAAATTCTCCTCTATTCCTTATTTGGTAAGTATTTATCATGATAAGGTGTTGAATTTGTCAAATGTTTTTCTGTGTCTACTGAGACAATAATATATCTTTGTCCTTTATTCCACTGACATGATGTATTGCATTAATTTTCAGATAATAAAACAACCTTGCATTCCTGGAATATATATGGTTTGGTCAAGGTATATAAACTTGTTAATATATTGCTGGATTCAGTTACCTAGTATTTTGTTTATTTTTATGTCTATATTAATAAGAGATATTGATCTATAATTGTACTTTGTTGTGATATCTTTGTCTGGTTTTAGCATCAGAGTAATGGCTTCACAGAATGAGGTTGCAAGTGTCACCTCTTCTATTTTTGGAAGTGTTTGTAAATAATTGGTGTTCACTCTTCTTTATTTGGTAGATTTATCAGTAAAGCTATCTGCACCCGGGCTTACTTCTCTGTGGAAAGATTTTATATTACTAATTCTCTTCGATTGTAGTAAGTCTACTCAGATTTCCTTTGCTTCTTGAGTCAGATTCAGTAGTTTATCTTTCAAGAAATTTTCCCATTTCATCAAAATTATCTAATTTTTGGTAACCAGTTGTCCATAGTATTCCCCTTTAGTTCTTTATATTTTTGTAAGGTTGTAGTGATGTCCCCTCTTTTATTCCTAGTTTTAGTAATTTGAGTATCCTCTCTTTTTCTCTTGGTCAATGTAGCTAAAGATTTATCAATTTTGTTGATCTTTTTAAAGAATGAACTTTTGGTTTTGTTGATTTTCTCTATTGTTTTTTCCATTTTCTGTTTCATTAATTTCTGCTGTAATGTTTATTACTTCATCCTTTCTCTTTGCTTTGGGTTTAGTTTGCTTGTCTTTTTCCAGTGCCTTAAGGTGGGAGGTTAGGTTACTGATTTTTCTTTCTTTTTTTTTTTTTTACATTGGTGTTTACAGGTATAAACTTCCCTCTAAGCACTGTTTTCTCTGCTTCCTATAAGTTTTGGTATGTTGTATTTTCTTTTTCATTTAGCTCAAAGTATTTTCTCAATTTGACTCATTGGTCATTTAGGTGTGTATTGCTTAATTTCCATATATTTGTGAGATTCCTAGGTTTCTTTCTGTTCCTAATTTCATTCCATTTTGGTCATAGAACATACTTTGTGTGATTTTGAAATCTTTCAAATTTATTGAGGCTAGTTTTATGGTATACCATATAATCTATCCTGAAAAATGTTCCATGTGCCATTGAGCTAGTATATGGTTTAGCTTCTTGCTCTTATTGAGCTACTAGCCTCCTCTTAATTGCTTAGAACCCAAATCTCCATTGTTTTTTGAGATTGCCTTTAGGCTTTAACTTTTCCACACTCTGTTAAATAAAGTCAATTCCTTTGGGAAAAGCTACAGAGCTTTGTGTCCTTACAGCCTGCCTCTCTCCCCAGCAAAATTTCCGTGCCAGTGCTCCAGAGCTAGTGGTGAGAACAGTGGCCCACTTCTTTTGGAGTGACACCCCTGCTTTACAAATTGAGTGCTGGGAAGGGATGGTAGCCTTTGATCTTCTTAGTTTGCCCCTCCCAGTGGGGAACCTCCACCCTAATAGTGAAGTGGGCCAAGGTTAATCAGGGCCTAGCATTCTCACCCTGCCTTTTCCTGGGGAGGAGGGGAACTCCAGGCCTGTCAGCTATTCTTGCCTGAACTAGCTTTTGCAACATGGAGCTGGAGAGGATGTATCTCCTTACCTCCCTCAGAGAGATACAGTGTCCCTAAACTGGGAACTAGCTGGGGAGATTGTGCTCTTGGTTGTACCCGCCTTGAATATTGCTTCTGCCATGCTGAGGTGGGGTGGAGGGGGGAGTAGATTTAGACTCAAATGCCACACTCCCTCACTGCTTTTACCAATACTTGGTAGATTTCCTGGAGTAAATGTTTCTCTACCTGCTGTATGTCCTTCAGACAATTTCCAATAATGTAGTGGCTGGTTTTTAAAAAATAATTTTCAACATTTATGGTTGTTTTGCTGGGGGAGGTTCCATGGAGCCCCTCCTGCCCCCATTCTGTAAGTTGCAGTCAAGTTCTGTCTAAGCCTCTCTTTTAACCAAGGTGGAGATTTGTGTATTCAAAAATGTGTAGAGCATTGCTAAATACTCTGTGAAGATCTTGCATACTACCACTTAAATCTCACATATGCCCTTTCATTCTCAAGGTAACTGCCTTACATAAATTCTGAATCAATCTTGCCTTAAAGTATTTCACTAACTTCCTAACTAGTCTGCCATCTTAACCTTCTTTCCTATCCAATCTATCTTCCTGCTACTGAAGTGAATCATCTGAAACTTCCTTGATTATTTACCTTGAATGACTCGCTACTGATGATGGCCTAAACTGCAAACTATATGGCATGGTACACAGGCCCTCGAATAGCTAGTCCCAACCTTCTAGTTTCACAGTTTGTCATTTTTCCAGATGCATGTTATACTCTAACCATAGAAGATATCCAGCCTTACCTTGATGGGCAGTACCTTTCAAATTTCCATGTTATATTCATGCTATTCCCTTCCCTTCTCTGATTTGTAAATTTCTACTTATTCCTCAAAGGCCTGATCAAATAATATCTACCTTATTCCAAGTACCTATCAAACTCTGCTGATTGAGCTGAAAATCAAATGTTAAGTCAGGAATCAATAAACATTTGTTGAATGAATGGCTATGTCTCCTATAAGCCTCTTTGATACATTTCTGCTTGCATTCTGGACTCAAAATGAAAAACTACAAGAGATATTCAGACATTGTTGCTTTGTAGACATAACTCCAGAATTGGTATTAAAGTATTATTAGAAATAGAGTTATAGTTGTCATTCTATTTAAATAAATTAAACCTAAAAATACATTTATTCAGGAAGAAACCTCCCCTACAACAGGAGGACATATCTGGGTAGCCAGTTCATACTTTTAAGAAAAGGCTATTCAGCTTCTGAGCTGTGTGTTTTAGAGGAAATAAAGGAAAGGTTTATCATCAAATATTTATTTCTATTAAAAAAGGAGAAGAAGAGTATTTTGAGGGAATTCCCACCCTGGATGCCCTTAGTACCAAGGATCTCAATAACCGGGTTGGAAGATGAAGAAATTAAAATGTCAAAAATATGGTATTTTGAGAAGTACATTAGTTTAGGAAGCTCTGGCAAAGGTCCCATTACTTTTATAAACTAGGTATAATCGGATACATTGCCCTCCCCCAATTTAGGAAAAATAAAAGGAAATTAAGTTGTTTCTTACATTTCCCTTTCTCAGGTAAAGCATCCAAAATTAATAAATTGAGAACCATCTGAAAAGGATATAGTATTCAATAATTAAAAAATTTGGATTCTGATTCCTAAGTTAATTTTCTTAATATAATTTAGATGCCTATAGACAGATGCCTTGTTTATAATATATTCATAAAGAGTAGCATAAAGTAGGTGATTGAGTTTGTATTTATACTAACTGGCAGGCTTGTCAATGTACTGTAATGAGAACAAGCAATGAAACCTAGCCCTTCTTTGCCATCTCATGATATCTGAGAATTAATAAATAATAAAAAATACCTGTTTCATGAAGATCTACCCCAGCCTTCCCGGTTCTCAATTTAAAAGAATATTAATTAGTACCCCAGACTCCATGCTCAGGGGCTCCCAGCACTTCTCTCCTTGTACTGACCTGAGGCAGTCATTTGGGCTAAGAAGAGCAGGTACACAGAGGTAGCATCCAACTGCAGGTGTCCCCATTGATCATCACCCACTACAGTGGCACAGGTTTTGGTGTTGTACTTTGCATGGAGGCTATCCTTAGTACTCTGACTATATTTGAAGGATTCTACTTTATCCACCTGAAAAGAACAAAAACATTAAAAGAAGGATATACTGAAAAATCAACCCATATGCCACACTTCTGTAATACTCTAACATACATTATTGCAATGTGAAGATACACTATCTTCAGGCAATTGTGAATATTTAAAATACTCGTTACCTGTTTTTCCCTGCACTAATATAACTGGAAAGTCTGTTATTGTTGTTTTTCAATTTAGGTGATTTAATCAGAAAATAATACCAAATAGTCAAAAACAGCTCTTTCCTATTCATTGCCTCTTGTTTACTCTTCATATGGTTGCTTTGCCACACTGCACATTGTAGATAAACTGAGATTCAGAGTGCTTGAGTGAGAACAGCTTAGTAAGAGGTAACTGAATGTGAAAAGATACATTTGTTCCTGAAACTGAGGTAGAAATTTCGAAGTAAATTAGAATAAGAGGATATATTTTGAAGGAGTAATGAAAAGAGCTGCTGAGAGACACATAGAGTGAGGGAGTAAAGGTATGACAGTCTGAAAGGAAAATATCTTGGGCCCCTTCAAGCTAAGAATTGCTCAGGGAAAATCTGCCTCCCATTCTATTCAAAGTCATCCCTCTGCTCACAGAGACAGATGCATATTCTGATTGCCTCCTTTGGAAAGACTTACCAAAAACTCAAGAGAATGCAACCATCTGTCTCTCACCAACCTGTGACCTGGAAGCCCCCAGTTGTGGGGCGTTGCTTTGAGTTGTCTCAGCTTTTCTGAACTAATGTACTTCTTACATATATTGATTGATGTCTCATGTCTCTCAAAAATGTATAAAACCAAGCTGTGCCCCAACTATTTTGGGCACAGGTCCTCAGGACCTCCTGAAGCTGTGTCATGGGCGCATCTTCAACTTTGGCAAAATAAACTTGCTAAATTAACTGAGACCTGTCTCAGATTTTCAGGGTTCACATTTTGGTAACCTCAAGGTGGGGTGGATTCTGAGTGGAGATGCCCCTGACCTTTGACAAATCTCCTGTTGGTGCTTGGTACCAGCATGAGCTAACTTGATGGCTCAAACCAACAGGACAATTTGCTGAGGCCTGAGAGCACCCCCTCAACAGAATCCCTGATCTCTCAAAATTTGGTTGAGATCTAAAGCTTATTTTGCTGTTACAACTCCTCTTTTTTTGGAGTTTTACTTGCTTCCAACACAAGGAAAGCAAGTTTTCCTGCCTCCATGTCGATGGAAGGCAGGTAACTCCTTTATGGAGTTTGAACACGCTTCTAACGGGGAAGATGAGTTTTGTTTTTGTTTTTCCTGTTTCTAGGACCGTAGAGAGCAGTCTACAGCCTGAGACCCATCATTATGTAAGAAACTGGTTTGGGATTCTGTCTTGAAAATTCTTTTTAAATGACTGAAGTTAGCATTAACAACCAGCTGGTGTTAAATTCTGCTTACACTTAGAGTGCTCAGAAATCATAGAATTTGTGTGATGATTGTTAGTTTAGCAGCATTTTGTCCTAGCTGAAATACAGTAATAAGATTTTAAAAGATTTTTTTTAAAAGAGCTCAATGGTTAAAAGTCGGCTTAATTAAAAGGTTAACATCCAAGATGTGTGTGTATATGTGTGCATGTGGGCATGTTTGTATTTAAAAGGCCTTCATGTTTTGAGGTTGATTTTCTTTGAGAAAAAAAAACAAGGTCTCCTAAGACCTTGTCTTTTTTTTGAGCAAAAGTTTTTTTTTTTTTCTTCTCAGTTGACTGAATTCTGTTTTCACCTGATTTTTTGACTAAAATAGTTATCGCAACAGAGGCTACACTTGGGTTTTTAAGGAAGACACTCAGAAATGTCTTTGTTTAAAAAAATTTTGGCCGGGTGCGGTGGCTCACGCCTGTAATACCAGCACTTTGGGAGACGGAGGCGGGTGGATCACGAGGTCAGGAGATCGAGACCATCCTGGCTAACACGGTGAAACCCTGTCTCTACTAAAAATACAAAAACTTAGCCGGGCATGGTGGCGGGTGCCTGTAGTCCCAGCTACTCGGGAGGCTGAGGCAGGAGAATGGCGTGAACCTGGGAGGTGGAGGTTACAATGAGCCGAGACTGCGCCACTGCACTCCAGCCTGGGTGACAGAGCGAGACTCTGTCTCAAAAAAAAAAAAATTTTTTTTAAGTGCACTGTAAAAGCATCTCCCTGTAGTTCTGCACCACCAGACCTTTCTCTCTGTACATTATGATGTAAATTTTGCTATTTGATTTCACCTGAACTGTTTCCTTCAATGTGCAAATTTAAAGCTGTTTAGCTGACAACTGTGTAGGGTTGTGAAACAGGTTATCAAGAATATGAAAATCTAAGAAAAAAAAAAGAGGGGGTCTTTATAAATCCATTGGCATGCCTAATGTGTCCTTATATGTAATTATGTGTTGTGTACACACTGTTTCACTACTAAACATATATAAGAGATCTAATTAATTGGCTTAAAGAAAAATAAAAGCATTTAAATCAGATACTAAAAAAGAATTGTCAAATGCTTTTTGAAGTTTATGTAACTTAAGTAAAATCTGTAATAAATAAGCTAGTTTTAAAATTATTTGGTAAAGTAACATTAGAAATGTCTTAAGATTTGCCAGTATACATTCTTTTGTTTTACATTTATGAATCAAGCAATTTCATACTTATCCCTGCCAAATACTATCAGGTGTCAAAATTTGGCATAGGGGTTACAAACTATAAGCCCAGCCCAAAACAGAACGATTCTTTGCTTGTGTAATTTTTAATAAATAAGACATTGATATGGGCTTAATGAAAATAGCTGCATCTTGAATTTAGTAATATTACCGTAACTTCGAATCTTGTGGCTTTAGGCAGTATGCACAGACAATAAGGAGGTTTGTTTTGGGAAAGGACTGTTATTCTCTTTGTTTCAAAGCTAATCTATAAGCTAAATTCCTCCCAAAGTTAGTTTGGCCTATGCCCAGGAGTGAACAAGGACGGCTTGGGGCTAAGAGCAAGATGGAGTCAGTTAGGTCAAATCTTTTTTCACTGTCTCAGTCATAATTTTCAATGGCAGTTTCATAACTTTAAATCACGACTATCACAGTTTTCATAAATAATCAGGGTAAAACAATTAAAATAATTACGTAAATGTAATAGGATAAGTACTTGCAGAAAAACTGGTCATAATTTAGGATATAAAGTTATATTAAATAATAGATATTTAATTATTTGGGTATTTTCCAATAAATATATATTGTAGGAAAACATTCTTGCTAAAAAATAAAAGGTGAACAAGTTTTGTCTAATTCAAAGCTTATTTAAAGGTTATGTATAAAACAAGGTAAAAACAACCAGGAAACAAAAGGAGATGTAAAGAAAGTTATAAGAATAAAGAGGCCAGGCGCAGTGGCTCATGCCTGTAATACCAGCACTCTGGGAGGCCGAGGCAGGTGGAGGGGGTCAAGAGATTGAGACCATCCTGGCCAACATGGTGAAACCCTGTCTCTACTAAAAATACAAAAAAAAATTAGCTGGGTGTGGTGGCGTGCTTGCCTGTAGTCCCAGCTACTCAGGAGGCTGAGGCAGGAGAATTGCTTGAACCCAGGAGGTGGAGGTTGCAGTGAGCCGAGATCGCGCCACTGCACTCTAGCCTGGCCACAGAGCAAGACTCCATCTCAAAAAAAAAAAAAAAAAAAAAAAAAGAGGGATGTTCAGGACAAACCAGAAAGTCCAAATATTATTATTAAGTTTTGGTTTTGCTTAGGAAAAAAACTGAGATTAACAAAAAAAAATTTTTTTAAACTAAGGTTATTACATCCATGTATCTTCCTATATGGGCTTTTAAAGTCCTTGTGACATTGAGTTAGAGGGCTTTAACTCCTGGGTCTAAAAAGGACATCAAGTCCTGCTAAATCTTAAACACTAACAGCAATTAAAGCCTCATCTTCAGGCCCCATGGAAGATGCCAATCAAAATAAGCTGCATTCCTGAAATACAGGGCAAAAAACAATTAAAGCTATTTGATTCCTCATGAGCCAGGGACTATCGTGGAAGAAGACAGTGCACAGATTGTAAAGGCCAATTTTTAAAGATAAAATAAGTTCAGTTTCTCTATAAATTAATCATTAGTATGAAAGGCACACTGATGCAAAACCAGTATATGGACCCCTGTGTCAGATTAACAGGTTTTTCTTAAAGCATTAACCAACTCCACCAACTCCTTAATAAAGGTTATAAAAGCCTTATGGAAGTTATATTTTATAATCAAGGTTAAACTTTATAGATTGTTTACAAAATTTTGAAAAACAAATGTAATTGGCTTCATGCTGTTTTTATTAGGGCTTCTTGTTTAGAAAATTAAGTCTCTTCTCTCAAAGAATTAAGGTTTTCACTTTTTTTGAAGTCCTTGAATTATCACTTTGGTTAAACAATGACCTGTAATATTCTTTTGTAATATCAAGCATTTCAAACTTTTATATTTGACAAATTTTCCAAAATCAAATTATAAATTATGTCTTTTTCTAACCTAATTAATCCTTTAAGACATTAGGTTCCCTGAAGTCCAAAAATGTCATAATTTGGCTTATTTGGTATAAAAATTATACAGGAAGCACTGTCAAATATGAAATGTTGTTTGGTTTTCTTTGGGCTGTATTTGTATAAATATGTTATTGGTATGTGTTCCAAAATTATGAGAAACTCCTGAAATTCTGATATAACTTAGTGTACATTATCAGTAATATTCCTAATTGTTATGTTAAAATTATTGTGTGCCACAGAGGTAACAAATTTCTTTGTCAATTATGTCTTTTGATTATGGCTGCCTTAAAACTTTTTTTTCATCCATGGACAATTGTTGTCTTGTTTTGGTCCTTTTTAGAAGACGGTTTTATAATCAGCTATAAAATTCCAATAGGTGCTCTTAAATGCAGGTTTCTGATAACTTTTGAAGATTGTGACATCAGAATAGAGGAAAAATTTCCAGGACTCATGGAGAACTAAAATGTTCATGAATATCAAGCAGAACAAGAAATAACTGCATGGACTGAACTAATTTTTTGGACTTTTTGCTTAAAATGTTTGCTGATCCTTTGTTTTGTTTTTCAGATACTTAAAACTTTTCTTTTGAGCTACTGACAGCTTTTAACAATTTAGTATACTGCCATAAAAAAGATTTGGAGCATATTTATTTCTCTCTACCTGATTTTCTCTAGAATTTGGAAACTATTTGTGAGTATTCTTAACTTATGGCAATACAGTTATTTGCGTAAGTGCAATAAGAATCTGTTTTCATTTGTAACGGGACACAGTTGGAGAAACTGGTAATTTTACCAAGGCTTTGACTGGAATGGTGTGCTTTCCTTTAAAGAATCAAACTTGACTTGTGAAGCCAATAAAGCCCTTGGAAAAACTGGCCTCATATTTCATGTACACAGACCACATATAGGGTTTCTGACCCTTGGTAAGTAAAGAATGTCACTTTCCGACAGGCACAGAAGCCTCAGGTTTATCTTGGAACCCCAAGAGGAGGAGAAATTCAAACAACTCATAGATATTTGATGGCATAAATTCATGGCTGGGCTCGGCTTTCAAGAAGTCTTAACTAATGGCTGGGTGTGGTGGCTCACGCCTATAATCACAGCATTTTGGGAGGCTGAGGCAGGTGGATCATGAGGTCAGGAGTTCGAGACCAGCCTGGCCAACATGGTGAAACACCGTCCCTACTAAAAATACAAAAATTAGCCGGGCACAGTGGTGGGCGCCTGTAACCCCAGCTCCTCGGGAGGCTGAGGCAGGAGAATCACTTGAACCCAGGAGGTGGAGATTGCAGTGAGCTGAGATCGTGCCACTGCACTCTAGCCTGGGTGACAGAGCAAGACTCCATCTCAAGAAAAAAATCTTATCTGAGATTCCTCCTATGGAACAAAATTCCATCAAAGCCCATTTAAAAGCCTATGTAAAAAATAATTATTCTTGCTGCACTGTATACAAATAATTAGGCCAAGTATAATAAGCAAACCAGTCCTACCATGATTTGTCTTTAGTAAAAGGGGAAACCGGAGAGAGAAAAAATTATATTTCAAAACGATAGGACACCCATTGTTAGATTCTAGTCTTGCCTAATTTTTGTTTCAATTTTTATTAGTTTCTACAGTTTGGATGGAATTCTAATTTTTTTTGGCTACAAGTCTTCAAAATAATGTTTTCAACTTTTTCCTTCCTTTTTTTCCCCCATTTTTCCTAATTTGGAGTCCCTGAAAACTCAGCTGTGCTTTCTTAAAACCCTGGGAACTGAAGCCAGACAACTCAAACTTCAGAAAAAAATAACAGTAATTGGCCAGCACGGTGGGTTATGCCTGTAATCCCAGCACTTTGGGAGGCCGAGGCTGGTGGATCACTTGAGGTCAGGAGTTTGAGACCAGCCTGGCCAACATGGTGAAACCCCATATCTACTAAAAACATACAAAAATTAGCCGAGTGTGGTGGCGCACATCTGTAATCCCAGCTACTCAGGAGGCTAAGGCAGGAGGATCACTTGAACCCGGGAGGCGGAGGTTGCAGTGAGCCGAGATCACACCACTGCACTCCAGCCTGGGTGACAGAAAGAGGCTTCATCTCAAAAAACAACAGTAACCTATTTACATTCATAAGCCACTTTCATACCTGCCTAATAATGTATGGACTTCAGAGTAATAGGGCCTATACTGATTTTTCCAGGATTGTTCTTTTGTTTGTTATTGTTTTTTCTCCCTTACCTCCCCCCATTTTCTCTTCACAGGATATGAGACTTCACAACCTGCTAAAAATGAGCTTTTGGGACCTACCCATCTAGAAATAAACTGTCCTACTCATGAGAGATCAGGCGAAACCTGAGATCAGAGATTCATTTTCTTGTAAAATGCTTTCTCCAAAAGATTTGAAAAAACAAAGGTGGGGGGATGTGAAAGGAAAATAACTTGGGCCCCTACAAGCTGGGAACTGGTCAGGGAAAATCCGCCTCCCATTCTATTCAAAGTCATCCCTCTGATCACAGAGATAGATGCATATTCTGATTGCCTCCTTTGGAAAGACTTATCAGAAACTCAAGAGAATGCAACCATCTGTCTCTTACCTACCTGTGACCTGGAAGCCCATAGTGGAGGGAGGCCTTGCTTTCAGTTGTCTCACCCTTTCTGGATGGAACTAATATACTATACTTCTTACATATATTGATTGATGTCTCATGTCTCCCTAAAATGTATAAAACTAAGTTGTGCCCCAATCACCCTGGGCACATGTCTTCAAGACCTCCTGAGGCTGTGTCATGGGTGGGTCCTCAACCTTGGCAAAATAAACTTTCTAAATTAACTGAGATCTGTCTCAGATTTCCTGGGTTCAAAACAGAAAGCTAAAACTAGAAGTCAGAAGGGAAATATTGTGCAAAGGACAACTGAAAGACTTAGTTCCTGAAATTTAAATTTGATAATTAATGCCTCTGATGTATGACAGTAACCGTTATACCTTAAATTTGGTTCCTGAAATTAGTGACCTTAAACCTATTTGGTAAGGTAAAAAGTTCAAATATTGGCCAGGCAAGGTGGCTCATGCCTATAATCCTGGCATTTTAGGAGGCCAAGGTGGGAGGATCGCTTGAGCCCAGGAGTTTGAGACCAGCCTGGGCAACATAGTGAGATTCCATCCCTACAAAAAAAAATTTTTAATTAGCAAGGCATGGTGGTGCACACCTGTAGTCCCAGTGATGCGGGAGGCTGAGGTGGGGGGATCACTTGAGCCCAGAGGCCAAGGCTGCAGTGAGTGAGCTATGATCATATCACTGCACTCCAGCCTGAGCGACAAAGTGAGACCCCTATCTAAAAAGAAAAAAACGAAAGTGCAAATATCTAAAATACAAAATAAAGTAGCAAAGACTTTCTATCTATCATATATTTCTATGTACTACTTTCTATCTACTATATATTTCCTTCTACTATAGACTTCTGTGCCTGTAGGCAGTCACTTTAGCAATCCGGGCCTCAATTTCTTCTTCTAATAAAACACAATCTTGATCTTCAGAAAAGACAGGTAAGATTGAGTGTGGGCAAAATGCTTTAAGATCTCCTAGGATAAAACAATTTTTTAAAGTAAAAACACTCTTGTATGCAAAAATATCACAAACAAGCCTCAAAAATAAATGATAGACTGCTAAAAAATTCGCAATGCATATGACAAAGGACTAATGTCTATAATGTACAATAACTTTTCAACAGGCAGGAAAGAGAACCTAGATGATAGGCAAAGGACTTAGCAGACAATTCATCCATGAGGAAATGCAAATTTTCAATCTACACATAAAAGGATGCTCAACTTCACTGGAGGTCAGGAAAATGCAAATTACTGCAAGGAGATGCAAATTCAAGGTTTCTTATCTCCAATCTTAAAATCTGAAACACTTTGAAAAGGCTTTTCCCCTAAATTTTGCATTAAAATTCATTTGTTGGCAACACCAGATTCAAATTAAGTCTTTATTTATTCTACTTAGTATGAAATTGCATGTTTCCCTACAGAGATATTAATGTTTCTGATTATAGAGTGCTGTTCTAGACCCGCAGAAGGCATAAGGTAATATATGGTGTATATATACCATACACCATATAATTAAAGGTTGGCAGGAGTATGCACTGTACTGCCTTTTTAAAATCTGAAAAACTTTAAATTCTAAAGTTGATGGCCCCAAGGGTTTCAAATGAGGGTTTTGTGTATGTGCATGTGTGTGTGTGTGTGTGCATTTTGTTTACTTGTTTTTGAGACTGGGTTTCAGGCTGGAGTGCAGTGGCACCATCTTGGCTCACTGCAGCCTTGACCTCCCAGGCTCAAGTGATCCTCCCACTTCACCCCCGCTAACCCCAAGTAGCTGGGACTACAGGAACACACAACCATGCGCGGCTAATTTTTATATTTTTTGTAGAGACAACGCTTCGCCATGTTGCCCAGGCTGGTCTCGAACTTATGGACTCAAGCAATCCATCCGCCTTGGCCTCCCAGAATGCCGGGATTACAGGCATGAGCCACCAGTGCCTGGTCAAATGAGGGTTTTTAAACCTGTATCATCTTTTCACCCTACATACACAATTGCATGTACAGTAATGATGAAACACATTGAAAATCATTTGTAGAGGGTCAAAAAAGACTGGAAAGAAACATTCCAGTGGTAATTACATTGTGAGATTATGGGTGACATTATCCCTCTCCAATTTTCAAAATTTTCTAAAATTAGTGTGTACTATTTGTGAAACTGAAAGAAAATATAAGCTATAAACATTCCCTAAAGGGTAGAGATACTATTACAATGTGCTTTTATTAGAGAGGAAGGTGTTATCAATACCATACCTGTCTGATCATGCAGTGCAGTAGTCCTCTCATCAGCTTCACTACACTCTGCAGAAATAAATGGAAACAAGACAGTTATAAACATCCCTAGATACAGGAACACTTACTCAGCAACTGCAGATGGTACATGACCTTTTGAGAACAAGTAACCCTATCCTGTGTTCCTATTTACATGACATTTACTTTATTGGTACACAGAAGAGCAGATTACAGCTAAAAGTGGAATCAAAAGCTACACTTTATGATTCCTTCAAGTCAAAAAAATCATCCAAGCTTCAACTGGTTTATGTAAAAATAAGCCAACCATCCTATTAGAGGACATTCCACCTGGAGAAAGGGGCAAGTCAGCTCAAAAATCCTAAGGCTCTGAGGATATTCTAAAATACATCCTATGGCCTAGAAAGACTTCACTACAACATTGCTTTCATTTTTTCTAAGCTAGCCAAGACTTATCTTCAAGAGTCCACAGAAATATTTATCTGGACATGTCCTCTAAAGAATAAAGTGAATTTTAATAAAGAATAAGTATAAAGGGGATCTGTTCATTTGACTCAACCCGTTTTCCTTGAAAGAAAGTCACAAATTCTTAAGTTTCAAGTCATCACTATTTCTCTTACTGGGGCTTGATAATTTAAAGTAGTTTGTTTTCCAATCATAACATCTCAAAATTCTGATCACCAACTATATACTACATGACACTAAAGGGCCCATCAATCGTGGCATGGGTAGAAATGTGTTTTGGAAGAACATAGCACTGAACAGTTTCTCTATTTCTCCAAAAAGCTTTCTGTTTCACAGTCCAAAAGAAATCCAACCAGGTTACTCCAGGGTATGCTGGCTCAGAGGTAACTTCAGGACACCTCTGAAAACTAATCTACTTGGAAGCCACATGATTCTGTTATTTCTTCAAAACATATTCAAATGGGACTACAAGCAATAGTCATGATAAGGATAAGTACCTATTAAGTTCCAACTCTTTATGAAGCCTTTTATTGAGGGAAAAATAAGAATAAAAATGGTTTCTGTGGGAGAGTCCCCTTTCTTAAGTCATTTCTGTCTATAAATGGTCCCCTCCCCTTACAGATCAAAAGAAGAAATTTTAAAAAGAGAGAAAGAATAGGCAGTGCATGATCTTGTCACATTTTAAAGCCTGAAACATTTATTATAAAGCAAGGAAACTTACTGTAACCCCTACAAGAAGACATCTATATGACTTTGATGCTAATGAAAGAGTCCATCTCTTTAATATACCTGTTATGGAAAGTATTTAACACAACCTCTTCTGTGGGGAAACTTTATTCAATTCTGATACATGTCACCACATACTCAAAGGTTTCTACCATATTCTGTCTTTTCTAAAAGTCAATGAATTAGAATGGGAAGCAGAGGGAGGGGCTTGAATAGTCTTGTCTTTATATCAATGGCCTAAAGGAACTCATTTTAAAAAAACATATTAAGGGCCTCTAGTCGACCAATATAGAACTCAGCATTTATACTATTCTGTAAGAATCCTGGGCTCATGTCATTGGCTTCTTCACTATTTTACTGCCTTAGTCATCTTTTCTCTTGCAAACCCATCAACTCCCTTTACCCTCTAGCCCCACTACTCCCATCTAAATTTTCTTTAAACAGCAAATCTGGGGAATCAAGGACTCAGTGGAGGATCTCAATTAGTGGCCATTGTCAGCCATTTCTATCCTCAAGTTCTAATTTCCAAGGCAAGATAAAATTAGTAGGAAGTATCGGGAGGTAGGAATGATGGGAGGTATCTGTACTCTGTGTTCCCCAAACTAACTGTTTTCTGATCCAGGTGTGCTAGATGGCATTAATTATACATGTACATTCATACATCAGGGCTTCTACCCCATACCAAGTGACTCTCCCTCTTGCCTATTCTTTTTGACGACATAAATCAATATATATCTGTGAACTGACTTTATAAGAATATATAACTACACAACCATATCTGTGTACCTCTTTCTCTCTACCCCCAGGTATATGTGCAATCAGATATTTATTGAACCTCTATCAGGTTTTGTAGAACATAAAGAAAAGGGAAATGGGACAGATATGTTTTAAAAACTAACTACAGCATAGTCTACCCAGCATTTCCTAATTATCCTTTAAAACCCAACTCCTCTCTGAAGTCTTCCTTGCCTCGTCCCAAAGAAGTTTAGACATTCCCACCTCTGTGTGTTCCCACAGAGCTTAGTAGTTATCTCAAATATATAAATCAGTACCTATAGTACCTATCTTAATGTACTGTAACTACTTGCTTATATATCTGTCTCCCCCATCAGACAATGAACTCCCTGAGAAAAAGGGGCAGAGGCCAGGTTCAGAAAAAGACCTTCAAGTCAATGGACGAAGGAAGTTGAATTAAAAAACAAACTCATGTCTGCAAGTAACTCTCAAAAGGCTTATCAAAAAATCGTGTGTGTGTGTGTGTGTGTGTGTGTGTGTGTGTGTGGAGGGGTGGGTACGCAAATATGACAAAGTGTTAACAACTAGCGAATTTAGATAGAGTATATGCAAATATGTTTATTTTACTATTCTTGCAACTTTCCTGTAAGTTTGAAATTTTCCATAAAAAAAAGTTGAGGGTTACATATAAACATTTTGTACCATTTTCTTTTTAACATCTATTATAGGGCCTGGCACATGATGATTACACAGTCTTTTAAATTTAAAAAAATGAAGATGTTGAATGGCACAGATGGTAAGTGATCTAGAAGTTCCAAGAAAGGAGTCCTGAGAAAGAAGTGATCACTGTACAAGTGAGTGGTCTGTGAGGAAGGACAGGGACCACAGAAAAAGTGGGATTGGTGCTAGGCTTTCAAAGGATATTAGTTTAGATTGAAAGGGAATAGGCAGGTAGAAGAAGAAGCCCATAAAAATTTTTGCAGGTGGCAATGTCTATGGCTCCCACGGAGGCAAAAATTCAAACAATACTGATTCCGAAGTCATAAGACCCAGGTTGCATTCATGGTACCATCAAATTCCAGCTTCATCTCTGGGCCTCAGTCCCTTCACTTGGAAATTGAGGATAATACTTGATTCACAGGGTATTGTGAGAATAAAATACTGGTAATTATGGGGAAGTGTGTTGTACAATGGAAAGTATTTATACAAATGTTAGGTATTTTTATTAAGGGATTAGAGGAGTAATAAAGACATCAGCCTGGCTGGAACTGGGGGTATAATGGAGGGCACCAGCGTGATATAATATTGAAAAAAATAAGCTGGGACCAACCCATAGAGGGCCTTGTCTATCAATCCAAAATGTTTCGACTTTACTTGTGGAGAAATGAGGGCCACAGAAAGATTGTCGAGGATGGAAATAACATAATTTAAATGTGGTTTTCACAGAAGTGTTAGGAAATAAGGGCTTAGACTAAGGTTGAGGCAGAAGGGAAGAGAAAAGAGGGGATAGATTCAAGAGAAATTATATGAATCAACAGACTGGTGTGCATGCATCAAAAGGTAAGAGGGAGAAGTCAAAAATCATTCTAAGGTTAAGTAGCACACTTCAAGCACTGTTTTATAGAGTGCTAGTCTAAGAGATTCTGGAAAGGCTATAAAATTCACTCCCATCTTAGACAAAATATGCACATTAGTACATCAAAGGCTCTGAGAAATTATGGAGTAAAGACACATGCTCTTTAACATAGTCCCAAACTTAGTTGGCCTAGTATTCCACAGAACATACTATGGGAAATACTCCAAGTAATATTGCCTGGGTGGTTGGTAGAATGGAGACAGTAATAACAGAAAAAGAGATTGTTGATGAGTTTCCATTGTTTTGTAGTTTGTTTTTAGTTGGAAAGGTGGGGTTTCAGACACATTGAGTTTGAGGAGCCACAGTATATGCAGATGAAACTGATGAGGTGACAAATGAAAACCTAGGTTTAAAATTGAAGTGAGGTCAGAGATGAAGACTCAGAAGTCATTCTCATAAAGGTAATAGTTAAAGTCATGAGAAAAAATGAATGACCACACAAAAAGAACAAAACTTAGCACAAAGAACTGGAGTGAGGCCCAGAGATGAAGCTGAAATTTGATGGTACCATGAATGCAAAGAGATATCCCTATTTGTGTGCCTATATTTCTATGGGTATGAGACTGTATCTATATACCTTAGAGAAAGACATTTGTAAAAACATACATGTGCATAATTCTACTCTCAATCTAGGATGCAGTAGTTGCCTAAACCCTTGTCCTCTTTTCTTCCAGAATTCTCTTCAATTCTCTGACATTATTTCTCAGAAAGAAACCAAGGTAAGAATTGGAAGGAAGGGTAGAAATAATTAACAATCAATGTTTTGGGAAAATCCACACAGTAATAGAAAGTTGCAGTAGGTGGGAATTTAATCTATGAATTTATTGGATTTAATCTATGTTCATATTTTGCCATAACTAGTCATTCTTCACACTGGCTATACATTAAAATCACCCGGGTAGTTTTTTAAAAATATTGATGCTACTGAGCTCCACTTCCAGAGATTCATATTTAAATTGTTCTAAGCTGTGGTGTACTAAGGGTATTTCTTAAAAGATTCCTGGCCGGGTATGGTGGCTCACACCTGTAATCCCAGCACTTTGGGAGGCTGAGGTGGGTGAATCATTTGAGATCAGGAGTTCCAGACCAACCTGGTCAACATGGTGAAACCCCATCTCTACTAAAAATACAAAAAAATTAGCCGGGTGTGGTGGTGCACGCCTGTGATCCCAGCTACTGTGAGGCTGAGGCAGGAGAATCGCTTGAACCTGGGAGATGGAGATCGCAGTGAGCCGAGATCGCACCGCCGCACTCCAACCTGGGCAATAGAGCAAGACTTAGTCTTCAAAAAAAAAAAAAAAAAAAAAAAGCTTCTCAAAGTACAGTCAGAGTTTGGAACCACTCATCTAGATCAGGGACAAATCTAGCCCATTGCTATTTTTATGAATTAAGTTTTATTCAAACATAACTATACTCATTCTTTATATACAGGGGACCCCTGAACAACATAAGTTTGAACTGTGCAGGTCCACTTATATGTGGCTTTTTTCCAACCAAACACGGATCAAAAATACAGGATTCAGGGGTGAGAAACCCATGTATATGGAAGGCTGACTTTTCTTATAGATGGGTTCCACAGAGCTGACTGCAGAATTTGAGTATGCAGAGATTTGGTTATAAGCAGCCTGTACTGGAATCCATCCTGCACATATACTGAGGGATGACTGCATTGTCTCTGGCTGCATTTGCACCACAATCACAGAGCTGAGTAGTTAGATAGAGACCACATGTGACCTACAACCCTAATGACAAAAAAAGATATGATTTTCTGGTCCTTGATTAACACTGAATCAGGTTTGAGAAAAAAATTGAGACCTAATAATAAAAACCTGTTGCAATTAATAAGGAAAGTTCATATAAATTTAAAAATTCCCACAAAATCTTTTCTTTTTGAAAGATGTTTCCCATTGCTATAATGTTTTGAAACATTCCTAATTACTATTAAGGTGGTATGAAAGGTATTTTTTGGCTATGTGAAAAATTATTTAATGGAATATTAAAATTTTAGAATGGGCAATTCAATGTTTCCCTACTATTCCCCCTTCCTCTGTTAAATTCTTTATTTTTTATTTTTTATTTTTTTATTTTTTTTTTTATTTTTATTTTTATTTTTTATTTTTTTTGAGACGGAGTCTCGCTCTGTCGCCCAGGCTGGAGTGCAGTGGCGCGATCTCGGCTCACTGCAAGCTCCGCCTCCCGGGTTCACGCCATTCTCCTGCCTCAGCCTCCCGAGTAGCTGGGACTACAGGCGCCCGCTACCACGCCCGGCTAATTTTTTGTATTTTTAGTAGAGACGGGGTTTCACCGTGTTAGCCAGGATGGTCTCGATCTCCTGACCTCGTGATCCGCCCGCCTCGGCCTCCCAAAGTGCTGGGATTACAGGCGTGAGCCACCGCGCCCGGCCTGTTAAATTCTTTATAACTGGGCCAAATAAGAAAAAGTGTTAACATTACAGGGAGATAACAGATTTCTTCTAATAGAATTGAAAAAATTGGTCAAATTGTACCAGATATGAAATTCCAATTCTACTGATATTAATTTCTAGTAAAAATAGCAACAAACAAAACACTGAGCTCAAACTAGAAAACGTTGAGTAGGATGTAGGATTTGGGGGAGGGGAGTGGGCAGGATTACAGGTGAATTTTTTTAAACACTCTTCTATATTTTCCAAATTTCTACAATGGTATTTTTATAAAAGTCATAAAAGGCTGGGCGCGGTGGCTCACGCCTGTAATCCTAGCGCTTTGGGAGGCCGAGGCGGGCAGATCACAAGGTCAGGAGATTGAGACCATCCTGGCTAACATGGTGAAACCCCGTCTCTACTAAAAATACAAAAAATTAGCCAGGCGTGGTGGCACGCGCATGTAGTCCCAGCTACTCGGGAGGCTGAGGCAGGAGAATCGCTTGAACACAGGAGGTGGAGGTTGCAGTGAGCTGAGATCGTGCCACTGCACTCCAGCCTGGGGACAGAGTGAGACTCCGTCTCAACAACAACAAAAAAAGTCATAAAAATAATGATCTGTACTACCTGGTGTGGAGCAAAAACTTGAATAATTTTTTTTTTTTTGGTGGACCTATGTATCTCTCAATAATGGCTTGAAAGAACAACAAATGCCTGCTGTTGCTAAGGACAACACAGTGCAACCCCACATTATATTGATACTCGTAAAATAACCAAATATCAATATTCTGATTTATAGATGAAGACTGGAGCTCAGATTGCCTAAGTCTTGGAGAGACCACTGGAGAAAATGGCTGGTATAGAGAGAATTTTTCCCACTAATGGAAATGAATGCACATGCATCTTATAACTGACAACAGAGTACTTCAACTCCCACCATAGCCCAGAATATTGTTTTCTTAATATTATTTTCTTGGTCGTTGAAGAGGATGCAGCTACCTTTGCGTCTCAACAGTTCTATAAAGGATGCTGGTTTACTGAGGGGAAGTGCCTTAAAAGTTGGCTTAAAGGCATCTGCTGACTCTGACCTCATTTTGCCCAGGAGTTGGGGGAGGGAGGAAGCAACAGGCTCTGAAACAGTGGCCACAGCTATAAAAATCAACAGATAAAGTCTTTACTGTGTCTAGTCCAGAAGGTTTGCTGATTCATGTCATTTACCCTCATACAAACACCACAATTTTTAAAAATGAAATAAAATAGTAGATACCTGCTCCCAAACATTTTCTCAATGAGAATAAATACAGTGGTGACTACAAGATAGATTAACTTAGAGAGTCATGCATTTTAGGAAAGATCCCAGGATAGGATTTTCCACTGTAACAGAACAGACTGTTCCCTCTCCCTCAAATCAGCAAGTTTCAAGTTTCCACTGCAAGAATACCACTTCAGTACAATACAGGAAAGCTTTCTGGAATATAATTTCAGAAAGATGATGAAAGAGGGAAAGGCAAAATACAGTTCTCTTAGCTTTTGGTGGGTTTCACTTCCTTCAGTCCCCACTCTGCCCCCAACCCCCAATCACACATAGCTCCAGATCTCTTTGTATTTTTATTTTGAGTACCTGCTCCAATTCATAGGCCTTTGCCTTATCCTCATCCCGGTCTGCATTCTTCCGATAGGCCAGGCCCAAACCCCACACAGCCAAGATGCTGTACACATTATCTCGGACCCAAGCATCTTTCTGATCATAGCTGGCTGGAAGCAAGCCAGTCACTGGATTCTGCAAGGTCAAGAAAAAGAGGGCAGGAAGGTAACCATAGGTGTTAACATCAGGAAACAGAATCTTCCAAATGGGTTTTTTAGGGACTTTGGTCTTTCTTCTACTTCTCCACTCTTGAGTTTTATAACCTCCTCTTCTTCTGACCTATTGCAGGCAAATGCTATCTTCCCACCTTCCCAAGCTTTACTGAGCTATATTCAACACATTAAAAATTGTGTATATTTAGGGAGTACAACATGATGATTTATGTATTCATTGGAAAATTACCAAAATGACGTTTATTAACACATCTATTACCTCACAGCTACCTTTTTTTTTGGTGTGGTGAGAATACTTAAGATCTACTCTCTTAGTAAATTTCAAGTATACAGTACAGTATGATTAACTACAGTCACCATGCTGCTGTACATCAGATCCCCAGAACTTACTCATCTTATAACTGAAACTTTGTGCCCTTTGCAAATACTATCTTGAATAAGGGGTAAGCGGTGGCTGAAGCCTTTCGAGTCTGAAATGTGGGTATTATTAAAGGCACAATTAAAGGTATTATTAAGTGCATTTATAATGGGTATTATTAAAAGAAAGTTTTACCTTTCTAGTTAGAATGAACTAGCGAACTAGCAATGAAAAACCAGCAGAAAAAATATATAATTAACAGGGGCGGGAGAACCTGCTACAGACAGATACAGATACACACACAAACACACACGCGGAGTTCATGCAAGGTCTCCGTCACACACACACACACACACACACACACACACCCACACACGCACGCACGCACGGAGTTCATCCAAGGTCTCCGTCCAAGCTATGACAAGCTACATCCTCGCTCGGTGATTACGAGAGACACCCCTGCAGTTACCTGATGGCACAGGATGGTCTGTTGCACCAGTCGAGCGTAGCCGTCCAGCCGGACCCCGGAGTTACTCCGGCTCCTCATGGCGACACGTTACTAATTGTCCTCTGAGAAATAGCCCGGGTGCCACCGGAGCCTTCGGTCCCTAAGGAACAAGTATCCAACGCTGCTCCACCCTCGTGGTGGGACGCCTGAACACCAGGCCCCGCAGAGCCCTCCCACCGCTCAGGCCTGGCGCCGCGGATTCCGCGTACCTCTCCGGACTCCGGCGGCCTCAGGGGCCCACCACGCGCCAGCGCTAGCACTGGCTTCCCGCGGTCTAGAGCCCCGCCGCAGCGCCCCAGGCGCCGCTCCTGCCCCCTTAGTCCAGTCCGGCCTCCGCGTGTGACTCCTGCATCCTCCCCTCAACCCCGGGAGACCGCCGCGGCCCACAGCCTCCCGCCCGGCCGCCGCCAACAGGTCAACGACCGCTGCGCCGCCTCCACCTTGCGGGAGACGCGAGCGGGAGGCGGGGCGGGCGCGACTGGTTCTGGCAGCTGCGCGCTGCGACCCCGGGGCTCGCCCGCCCCGGGGCCGAGAATGTGTCACCGTAGGCAATGTGCTTTCCGAGGTTTATTTTCGAAACACCTCAGATCACTATTTCAGTTTTCCACACTTGCTGTGCACACAGGATGTTGGGGAGGCTCTCCTTCGTTCTACAGGACTAGTTTTATAAAGGAACCTACAGTGAACTTCAAAACTGAAAGACACGCTTGTGTTCCAGGTCTGAAGACTTGGATTTCTGGGTCTTTATTGTATTTTAGATTTTGACTTTAAAAGCTCAGATTACACGCCTCACTTCCAGCCAGACCAACCAAACAGGAACTCCCTAGGGTACTTTACTCCTTAGTAACTGGCGAGTCTGCGGGCTTGGGAGGGAGGAGGCAGTGGTGCACTCTGAGGAAGCCAGTGCGGGGAACAGCTGGGAGCTGGCAGCCCCAGAAGGCGGCGTTGGCAGGACTCGAGCTGGAAGAGATCCTATAACTGCTTTGGATGGCTCCCTCGTGCGCACGTAGGTCACAAGGCTGAGGCAACAAATATTCAGCTGAAAATAAAGTGGAGAAGGAAGGCTGCGTAAGAAGCTTGGAGGCCGGGCGCGGTGGCTCACTCCTGTAATCCCAGCACTTTGGGAGGCTGAGGAGGGCAGATCACCTGAAGTCAAGAGTCCGAGACCAGCCTGGCCAACATGGCGGAACCCCATCTCTACTAAAAATACAAAATTAGCCCGGCATGGTGGCGCGCGCCTGTAATCCCAGCTACTCGGGAGGCTGAGGCGGGAAAATCGCTTGAACCCAGGAGGCAGAGGTTGCAGTGAGCCAAGATCGTGCCACTGCACTCTAGCCCAGGCGACAGAGTAAGACTCCGTCTCAAAAAAAATAAAATAAAAATAAAATAATAAAAGCAGCTTGTAGTGGCCGGGTGCGGTGGCTCACGCCTGTAATCCCAGCACTTTGGGAGCCTGAAGTGGGCGGATCACTTGAGGTCAGGAGTTCAAGACCAGCCTGGCCAACATGGAGGAAACCCCCCCCCCCGCTTCCCCCGCCGCCGATACAAATACAAAAATTAGCCGGGCGTGGTGGGGCGCTCCTGTAGTCCCAGCTACTCGGGAAGCTGAGGCAGGATAATCGCTTGAACCCTGGAAGTGGAGGTTGCAGTGAGCCAAGATCGCGTCACTGCACTCCAGCCTGGGAGACAAGAGCGAAACTCCGTTTCAAAAAAAGAAAAAAAAAAGGCAGCAGCTTGCAGATAACGCTGCTTACTGGCCTCGTGGAATCAGTCTGCAACCCTTGGGGCGGCCCGGCTTGGACCCCAGTGCCTTTGCTCCGTTCATCTCCGGCTCCTCCCTCCATCCCCCACCTGTTGCTCTCTGCTTATTCAAACCTTGCAAACCTTTCAAGGCTCTGCTTAAGTACCACCTATTCCCTGAATCGCGGGATAAGAAAATTAGACCGATTGACTTCAAGTTCTAAACCTTCCTTAGCCACCTCATCCAGGCCACGGTGACTTTGCATTTTCGTTTATCTTTTTATTTCTCTCCTCATAAGCTCCCTCCATTCCACCCCAAAACCTCCGCCCAATTTAGCATAGAGGCAGGCACCTAGGAGATGACTAGTAATTTGGTAATGATGATGAGGAAGGAGGGAATGTTTAAGAACTCAAATATGGGACTTTCAGGTTCAACAGCCAGTGATATAGTTAGATATCGTGACACACTTAGAGTTCTCAAGGAGATGCTTTCCATTGCAGTGATTCGCCACGCAAATGCAATGACTGGCAAATAACAAGCCACTTCAAAATCTAGGTGCACAGTGGAAGAAAAAGTCTCTCCATGGAAAGCAAGTGCATCTTGGACTTGCATCTTTTTTTATTTTTATTTTTTGAGGCGGAGTCTCGCTCTGTCGGTCAGGCTGGAGTGCAGTGACGCGATCTCCGCTCACTGCAACATCCACTTCCCGGGTTCAAACTATTCTCTCCTGCCTCAGCCTCCCGAATAGCTGGGATTACAGGCGCCTGCCACCACTCCCGGCTAATTTTTGTATTTTTAGTAGAGACGGGGTTTCACCATGTTGGCCAGGCTGGTCTCGAACTTGAACTAGCATCTGGATCATCCCTGCTCTGCCCCTAACTCGCTGACATCTTCCCCTCAGCTGTAGCCTCAGAAGCCGTTTCTCCACCCTTGTGCCTCCTTCAAGCTAGAGCCTCTCTTTTTCTTCGCTTCACCATGATTTAAACATGTTTATGAAACATTAAATATTTATATTTATGTTAAATCTTAAATATATTTATATTAAATATTAAAGTAATACACACTAAATAAAACATGGAAAGTATAGAAAAGTAAAACAAAGAAAATACTAAAATCACCCATAATTCCTTCGCACAAACACCTGTTAATATTTTAATTTATTTTTCCAGCTCTTTTATTTCTTCTGCATAGACCTTCCCCACTCCCCTTCAAGCTATTTAGAAGTTTGAGTAGATTAGGTATGGCAAAGGTAGGGTGTCACTACAAAAGACTACTGGCTGGCTATCAAGAGGTCTTGCTGGATGGCATTGCCTTGGTGCTTTTTCAACCTCGGTCCAGGCTGGACTTTGAGTCTTGCAGTCTCGGAAACTGGATCTGTTCAGTGTCCCAGAACCAGTCAGAGTCAGGAGGCTGACTCGTGCTGATTACCTCACGGGAGCCTGATGTATGAAAACCAGGATGCTGTTTGATAATGAGAAATAGAACTATGACACCGTTTATATTGGCCTGACCACCACATTCCCTCCCTTTAATAATGTGCAGCCTCACTACATACCAGGTGCTGTTTGCTTTGTACACTAACTCTATGAAGTAGGCACTATTGCTAATCCCATTGGAAAGATGGAGAAACTGACAAGTCTGCTGTGTCCATGTTGGCCTCACTGATTCTCTCTTTTCTCCACTTCCATGGCTTACTGGCACATTCTTTCCTTACATATGTCAAAATCATCAAACGACTTATAGACAAGACTTGCCAGTGGAAGGCATTATGTTTCATGAAGGTGATTTTTCTCTTTGATTCATTGTACATTCACTTTATAGTGTGACTCTCAAATAAAATTGTATTTCCAAGTTCCTGAGACAATTTTCTTGTTGCTCCCTTATATTACTGAAATTTTTTCATCATACCAATTTCTTAAAATTCATAAAGTTTAAAACTTCACATTATAAGCATTTTGCATTTTACATTAATGTCTGTACTAATCTTCCTTCTAGTAGATGTTCTACAGTTTGCTTATTCTCATCATAATTAAAAATAATTCATTATTTAATGTCTTGAAAAAAATAGTCCATACACTATTTCCTTTTCATTATTTCCCATTCACTTTGTTTAAGAATTATTTTTTTAAGATTTTTTTTAAGATTATACAGGTAACATATGAATGCATTCTCAATGAAAAATTTTGAAATATTGAAGATTAGACTAAAGTTCCGTATGTCTATCACCCTCCGTCACAGTCCCCTTTATCTCCCTTCCCAAAGGTAACCACTGCTATTGGGTTGGTTTGTATCCTTCTTGATTTCTTTCTATGGATTTACATATATATGTAGAACTGCATATGAAATATGTAGTGTTGTTTTCTGTGTATTCATTTAATATGAACTGTATTATACTGTACCTACATTTTGCATATTTCTTTATTCACTCAAAATTATACCATGAAGATCTAGTCCTGTTATTACATAGAGTTACCTCATAAACTATGATTTATATAGGCATTCCTTTATTGATAAGCATTTAGTTTGTTTCCCCATTAGAACTCCTGAAAACAGTACTTCAGTGAGCATACATATATGTCTTCTTGTGAATGCATAGAGGTGTTTTGGAAATGTGCATTTTAAATTTTGATATAAATATAGGGCATCTTTTAATTTTTATTTTCTTGAATATGAATGTCATTGATCACTTTTAATGTTTATTTTAGTTTAATTTATGTTTATTTATTTATTTAGTTCATTTTATTTCTTCTTCTGGTTAAAAACTGTTACCAGAAAGGGGTCTCAATACAGACTCCAAGAGGGAGTTCTCAGATCTCGTGCAGGAATTCAAGGTGAGTCACACAGCACAGTGAAGGAAGCAAGTTTACTAGAAACTGCTCTGTTACAGAGTAGGATGTCCTCAGAAAGCAGGCAGATGAACGCACTGTCTTTGTCTTAAGTTTTTCTTATGTAGCAGTCTTGTCCACGTAAAGACTAAACCAAGCTGTGTCTATGTGAGAGTGAGCAGACAGCATGGCAAAATTTATTGTTTTATTGATTTAAAGAAAACTATCCTTGACATTTTAGTGTGTGAAGACATCAAAGCATAACTATAATTATCTTGAAAATGTGTATTGTTATGGGTGTTGGGACATTGAGACTTTCCACTGTTATAGGAGTGTCCCCTTGTAGGTGTCTTTAGGTTGTTTCCTCAGCTGTAAATATATTATGAATGTGGGTCGTGACTGGCAAGGAATGGGCCTTGTTCATCTCAAGATGAACCTGAACTTAAAATGGTGTTACTCTGGCTCTCCTAGGCTCTCGCTTCCCTAACAGAACTGCTCATATACTTGGTCATTTTTCTATTGGGTTGCTTGTCTTTTTCTTTTTGAGTTACAGCAATTTTTACAACTTATATATTCTGGACTTTAACCTTTTCTCTAAAATAAATGTAAAAGAGATACCGCACATGTTTTCCCATAAGTGGTTTGTCTATTAACATTATTTATGATGCCTTTTTTCATATAGCTTTTATTTTGAATGAAGTCAAATTGATGAATCTTTTCCCTTTTGTCTTAAATTAAAAGGCCTTTGGAGTGGGTTGAACAGTGCCCTCCACCCCCACAAAAGATATGTCCACCTAGAACCTGCCAATGCGATATTATTTGGAAAAAGAGTCTTTGCAGCTGTAGTTAAGGATCTGGAGATGAAATCCAGTCAGACTTTCCAACCGGGCCCTAAATCTAATGATGAGCATCCTTATAGGAAGAGGACAGGGCACACAAGAAGAAGGTAGTGATGTGAAGACCCAGGTGGAGATGGGAGTGATGCATTTACTAGCCAAAGAACACCAAGGATTGCCAGCAGCCACCAGGAGCTAGAAAAAAGGCATGGAATGGATTGACCCTCAGTGCTTTCAGAAGGAACCAATCCTGCTGACACCTTGATTTAGGACTTCTGGCCACCAGACTGTGAGAGAATAATTTTCTGTTGTAAGCCACCCAGTTTGTGGTAATGTGTTGCAGCAGCCCTAAGAAATGAATAAAGTCAACCCTGTCTCTACTAAAAGTACAAAAATTAGCCGGGCATGGTGGCGCACATCTGTAATCCCAGCTACTCTGGAGACTGAGGAACAAGAATCGCTTGAACCCGGGAGGCGGAGGTTGCAGTGAATCGAGATCATGCCACTGCACTCCAGCCTGGGTGATAGAGTGAGATTCTCTCTCTCTCTCTAAATAAATAAATAAATAAAAGTCTTCTTGCCCCCAAGATCATCAATAAATGATCATTTATCTAATACGTTTATTGTTGTGCTTTTTATCTGTAACTTTTAATTCTTCTGTATTTTTCTAAATGGGTCTAGGCATAAATTTGGCTTAATATTTTCCTAAATGGTTAGCCAGTTATGCTAACACCATTTATTTATTTATTTATTTATTTATTTATTTATTTATTTATTTATTTTTTGAGACGGAGTCTCGCTCTGTCACCCAGGCTGGAGTGCAGTGGCGCGATCTCAGCTCACTGCAAGCTCCGCCTCCCGGGTTCACGCCATTCTCCTGCCTCAGTCTCCCGAATAGCTGGGACTACAGGCACCGGACACCACGCCCGGCTATTTTTTGTATTTTTAGTGGAGACGGGGTTTCACTGTGTTAGCCAGGATGGTCTCAATCTCCTGACCTCGCGATCCGCCCGCCTCGGCCTCCCAAAGTGCTGGGATTACAGGCCTGAGCCACCGTGCCCGGCCGCTAACACCATTTATTGAGTAATTCTTTTCCCTTGATTTGAAATGCTGCTTTGAGCATACCCATGATTCTGTTCCATCAATCTGTTTTTCTATTCCTTCACCAATATTGTACTACCTTGGAATTTTAGAATCATCGGGTCAGGTTCTACGGAAATTATTTTTTGGGGAGCCAGGGTCTCACTCTGTCACCCAGGCTGGAGTGCAGTGGCACAATTATAGCTCACTGCAGCCTTGAACTCTTGGGCTCAAGCAATCCTCCGTCTCAGCCTCTCAAGTATCTAGGACTACAGGTGCATGACACCATGCTCCATTAATTTTTTAATTTTCTTGTAGAGGTGGGGTGTATATTGTGCAGGCAGGTCTTGAACTCCTGGCCTCAAGTGATCTCCCTCCTAGGCCTTTCAGAGTGCTGAGATTACAGGTGTAAAGCCACCATGTCCAGTTGAAAATTCTGATTTTTATTCTGATTGCATTGAATTTGTAGATTTGTTTGGGGAGAATTGACATATTGACAGTGTTTTGCTTTCCTGTCTACAAAAAAATGCACATTTATTTATTTGGAGCTTCTTTTATTTCTTTCGGTAAACTTTATATTTTTCTTCATGAAAGTCTTGCATTTTTTGGTTAAGTTTATTTCTTGGTATTTTTTCCGCTGTTATATTTTAATTGATTATTATTATGTATAGGGAAATGATTTTTGTATGTTTACTTTATATCCACTCTCTATTAAACTCTTACATTAAATCCAGTGGTTTGAGGGTAATATTTTTTGGTTTTCTAGATAGACAGTCATATGATTTGCTAAGAGTAACAGTTGTGCTTTTGTCTTTCAAATCTTAATGACCCTTATAGTGGGGATAGTGGTTATCACTTCTTGCTCCTGACTTTAATGGGACTAGGTGTAATATTTCACAATTAAATAAGTCTGCAGTAGGTTTCCAAAAGACACCGTTATCACATTAAAATAGTTTCTTTTTCTCCTTGGCTTCCTAAAACTTTATTATTAACATCATTTTGAAAGAATGTTGAATTTTATTGGATTCTTTTTCTGCATGCATTGAAAAAACTATACGGTTTTATTCCTTTACTTGGCTAATGTGTGAATTACATCAGTACCTTTCCTTATTTTTATTCCTAAGCTAAACCACATTTGATCACGATAAACACACTAGATTTAATACACACTAGATGCAATTTAGTAATATTTTATTTATAATTTTCAAACCTTTGTTTTTAAATTATGTCAGCCTATAGCCTTCTATTTTTACCAGTCCTTGTTTCATTTCAGTATCAAAATTATGCCTGGCTGTAAAATGGCTTTGGTAGTTTCCCATCTTTTTCTTTGGAACTGTTCAGATGAAATGAAAATTATGTGTTACTTTCAGTCTTGGTGAAACTTACCTGGTAGAACTCACTCACTTGCTGCCTTTTTGAGAACAGTTAGATTTTTGAAAATCATTTCAATTTCTTCTCTGGTTATTGCAAAGAACAATGCAATAGAGAGTCGAGGTTATTATCAAGATTTTCCACTTCTTGGGCCAGTTTTGATAATTAATATTTTCCTAGAAGCGTGCCAATTTAAGTTGGCTCAGGGCTTCTCAATCTCAGAATTATTGACATTTTGGGCTGGCTAATTCTTGGTTGTGGGAGGCTGTCCTGTGCATTCTAGAATGTTTAGCAACATCCTTGACCTCTACCAACTAGATGTCAGTAGCACCCTGCCCCACCCCCCTCCCCTGCCCCCTGCCATTTGTGACAATGAAAATGCCTCCAGATATCGCAAAGTATTCTCTGGAGGTCAAAATTTGTCAGTATAAAGTTGTGCAAGGTTTTGCATGTAATTCTTAAGTCGCTTCTAAATCTGAATCACGTCCCCTTTTGTATTCTTGATGTATTTCATTTGTGCCTTCTCTCTTTTTTTATAAGATGAACATACCAAGAAATTTGTCTATTTTATTAGTCTTTTCCCAGACCAGCTCTTAATATTACTGATCAATTATATCCTCATTTTTGTATTCCTTTGTGACCTAACAAGTAGAAAATTTTAAAAAATATTTCATTACAAAAATAGAATGTACAATACAGTGAACCCTACCACCTTGCTTCAACAATTGTCAGCTCATGTCCAATCTTGTTTCCTTCATCCATACCTTCTCACCCTCTCCTTTCCCATATTATTCTGAAGCAAATCCCAGATTGTGTATTCTTCCAAATGTAAATATTATGTACCTACAAAATTAAGAAAGCTTTATTAAATATAACCATGCACCCATGATTACACCTAAAATACAATTTCTTAATATTATCAAATATCCTTTCTTTGTTCAAATTTCCCGACTGTTTCATAAATGCTTGTGTATGTGCATGTGTGTGTGTGTGTGTGTGTGTGTGTGTGTGTGTGTGAGAGAGAGAGAGAGAGAGAGAGAGAGAGAGAGAGAGAGAGAGATAGAGAGGTTTATAGATTGTCAGAATCAAGAGCCAATAAGGTCCATGCATCACATTTGATTGACATGCTTCTTAAGGCTTTAAGTCTTTTGAGCCATAGGGGTTCCTTCTTATTTTTCCTTTTTTTCCTAGGAATGTGATGAATACATCAAGTTGTTTGTCCTGTAGGGTTTCCCCAGTTGAACTTTGTGGATTTCATTTCTATGGTACCATTTAACACTTTCTCTGTCTTCTGTATTTCCTACAAATTGGTGCTTGACCTTAGAGGCTTAATCAGATTCAGGTTCAATTACCTTGGCTAGACTGCTCATAGGGTATATGGAGTTCTCCCATCTGGAGACACATAATATCTGGTTGTCCTTTAACGGCTACATCCCTTAATTCATTATGAGTTGCAGAATAGTGATATCCTATCATTCTATATTCATTTATTAGCTGACTTTTTTTAAATAAAGAAAACTTCCCTTCATCTGCTATTTGGAACCTACCAGTACAGTTTGCATAGGACAGGCAGGATAAATGCTTGCCTCTTTCCCTTTATTTATTGGTTTCCAAAATAATGAGTTGGTTCCCTATCATCTTTCAAATGTGACCAATTTTTTCCCAGTATTATCATAAGCATATAGGTGTAAACATTTGATGTATTTCAATCCATTACAGTTATTCTCCTTATTGATGCTCAAATTGTCCAGTGGGACTTTGGCCCCTGGGAGCCTCTACACCCTGGCTACTGTGTCCTTTTGACAGAACCTTATTGGTCTGTGATAGCCTCCTTGCTTTCTGAGACTCCAAGATGTTGGAGGCTCTACTTGTCCATTTCCTGCCCCCAGACTAGACATCAGCATTTCTCCTAGGATCCCTGGTTCCTTTTATTGTGAAATGGTGTTTGGAAATAAAAATCTGGGCCCTGGTCATTATGATCTTTCCAATCAAGATTCAAGATTAAAGAATTTTTACTTCAACTCAACAATCTGCATCGTCTTTCTCCCACAAATAAAATCCTGGTTCTCAAGACAACAACATACAATCTGTTATCATCTCACTCATCTGTGTTATCCTACCATATACAGATAACAGTTTCAGAGTAACAATACCAGCTATGCCACCAAAAATGTGATTACTACAAAGAGTTTAAGATTCTTTTGCAGATATTTTTGTCCCTACCTTAAGATGTATCCTGTTAGGATATACATCAACGTTGTTGTGTTTTAAAGTTACTTTATGTGTGATTATGTTAGCTTCTGGATACACAGGTTCATTTGTTTCATTTTGCTTTTGACTTAATATTTTTTATTTTTAATTTTTGTGGTTACATAGTAGGTGTATACATTTATGGGATATATGAGATATTGTGATACAGGCATACAATGTATAATAATCATATCAGGATCAATGGGGTATACGTCACCTCCAGCATTTATCTTTTGTGCTACAAGTAATCCAATTACATTCTTTTAGTTATTTTAAAATGTACAATTAAATTAACTATAGTCACTCTGTTGTGCTATCAAATACTAAATCGTATTTATCCTTCCTATTGTTTTAGAATTGCTTTTCTACAAAGTTATGTTAAAATTGTGTAATATACTTACATGGTTCCAAAGTCAACTCTACAGAAGGAGGTATACTAAAAGAAGACTAGCTTTTCTCCCTGCTTTTTTATGCTAGTTGTTCCCACCCCCTATAGGTAATCACTTTTCTTTATATTGTGGCTTATCTTTCCCTTTTAAATACAAATATATATTATATTTTTAAACACAAATATATATAAAGGAAGATATAGAATTATATATATATATAGATATACACACACATTTATTTATTTATTTCTCTTCCCTTATGTAGCTGGTATAATATTATACACACTTTTATCCACCCTGCTTCCTTCAAAATAAGCAACACATCTTGGACATCACTCCCTCAGAGAACGTAGAGATATTCTTTATTCCTTTTCAAAACTGCATCGTACCTCATTTTGTGGACATACCAGACCTCTATTAAGAGAACATTTGAGTTGTTTCTAGTCTTTTGCTGTTATAAATAATGCTGCAGCAAATAGCCATGTGCATATGTATTCTGATAATTGCCTTTTAGTTGATGGATCCCATATGTTTAAATGTATTGATTGCCATATTTGGAGAGGTTTTCTACCATCTCGTTTTGTATTATCTTTTTTACCATTTTTTAAAACTTTCTTTTTCCTTTCCTTCCTTCTGTAGGATTGATAATGCTTTCTATATTCCCTTTTGTTCCCTACACTGGCTTAGAAACTACAGTTTGCATTGCTGTTGTTTTGGTGGTTGCCCTTGTTTTTAATATGTACACTTAACTGTAACGTTTTAATACATGTAACATATGTTTTAATGCTTTAATACATGTAACATAGTTCAGTATTTCTATTCTTTCGAACATGACAAAGTTTTTTGCATTCTTTAAGGACTCATTGAACAACCCCTCTTTCTTCAGCTAGTTATCGTTGCCTAAAATGTCCGTTTCATCTTTAATTTTAGCTCACCTTTTCTTGAATAAGTAATACATTCATATGGTTCAAAAACTGAAACAACAATGAAAGTTATAGGGTGAAAAGTCTTGCTCCTATTCCTCTCCTGTCTTTCCAATTCATCCTACCTTCCCCCAATCAGTTAATCCCTGTAAATGCATATTTTTTTCAGGGTTTTTTGTTTTGTTTTGTTTTGTTTTGTTTTTGAGACAGAGTCTCGCTGTTGGCCAGGCTGGAGGGCAGTGGCACGATCTCGGCTCGCCGCAACCTCTGCCTCTCGGGTTCAAGCAATTCTTCTGCCTCAGCCTCCCAAGTAGCTGGGACTACAGGCACGTACCACCACGCCTAGGTTTTTTTTTTTTTATTTTATTTTTAGTAGAGACGGGGTTTCACCGTGTTAGCCAGGATGTTCAGGATGTTCTCAATCTCCCAACCTCATGATCTGCCTGCCTTGGGCTCTCAAAGTGCTGGGATTACAGGCGAGAGCCACCGTGCCCAGCCTCAGGGTTCTTTATGTAACATATACATTCTTATTTTACCTCCTTTCTTACATAGTGTATTATACTGTGTTTGGCACCTTGATTTTTCTACTCTTAGCAATACATCTTGGAGATCTTTTCATATTGGTACAAATAAAGTTTCCTCATTCTTTTATATGTCATAGTATTTCACTGTATGAATGATTCTTAAATTATCTAACCGGTATGCTGTTAAGAGATACTTGCATCATTTCCAATCTTTTGCTGTTATAAAAAAGCTGAAATTAAGAACACTGTACATATTTTATATGTGTTCAGATATATTGGCAAACACTCAAAAATTGAATTGCTGGTTCTATGGAAAATTATGTATTTGTAATTTTTTAAATACCACTCAGACTGCGTTTTCTACCTCTTAGTCTCCTGATGGAAAAGAAGAACGATTATCAGTGGCAAATGGCAGTTTCAGCGAAGCAACACCAACAGCCGGCTTCACACTCACTAGAGAATGCTGTGCCTCCTCCTTGTGGTTTCTGGCACCCTACACATTCAGAGAAACTACTCTAGTAATGAACTATAGAAATTACCCCTGAAAGTATAGCCCTTATTCTTAGTTTTGATAGATAATGCCAAATTGCCCTTTATTGGAGTTTATACTACCCATTAGGAATGTATGAGAGTGTTTACTTTTCCACAGCTTTGGTAATAAAACGAGTTATTAATTTTGGGGGTGGTTGCCAATCTTTGTATTTTGCTTCTTTCTTTCTTTCTTTCTTTCTTTCTTTCTTTCTTTCTTTCTTTCTTTCTTTCTTCTAACAACATGGGTACATTTCTGTTAGACTACCTGATACAGAAGATAGCGTGGTATGGATGCATAGCATGAATAACAAATGATACCAATGCACTTTATTTGAAATAAACAAAAATGCTTACACAGCTCAATGGGCCACTTGGAAACAAACTGTTGCTTGACTGTGTTACTGAGCAAAAACAAAGTCAAAGCACAAACACCCTTATTTTTTGACATGTATTTGGAGATAGGTAGGAAGACACTACCTGGTTCTTTAAAAAACTGTTCTTTCCTTAAGGCCTGGTCATAGAAGTGTAAAGAATGTAAATGAACTTGCCATTACCAATTATCATATCATATCTATGTCGGCTGTGTATTCTGAGATCACACACAAACCTGTGTATAACCAGTATACCTGGGAAGAGCTGCTATACCACAGTTATACTTGAGTTCTTGCCAGGCGGGACAGAGGAAGAGTAATCTGGAGTAAGTTTTACATCCTGTTTAGAATAAATCACTAGTATTCCCTTAAATGACAGGTTAGAATAGAAAGATGCTACCTGGAAGTTATCCTTTTTACTTTGGTTCGTTTTTAGTTTTTGTTTATGATTTACATAGTTGCTTGATTCATTTGCTTATAGCACAATCCTGCCACAAAGTATAAAAGGGCAGGATACTTATTATTTCTTCAACATCTGCATTTTTCAAGTTTTTAAAAACGAATGGATAAAACTCTGCTAAAAATGCAGATGTCTATAACTTCAATGGTATTAGATGGGAAGGAGACAATGAGGGAAGGGAAAAAAAAGCAAACATGTTCATGTGCAAGGAATGTGGTTAAAGCCTTTGGATTTAAAAACATGTTTCTCAGAAAAGCTGTCACTTCCTTTGTCCTCCAAAAAAGGACTTGAAAAGTTCCAATCCAAGCTTTGGAAAACTACAGTTATGAGATGCTATAAATGTTCAAAGCAGTCAGAAGGAGAAGGATGAATGTGTCTTTTATTTAGCTATAGTTCATAGCGTAGCCTCTTTAGCTGTTGGTGGATCAGTAAAAACCACTGAATTACCAGAAGTGCTTGAAAGGATAGGGGTAGAAAGTAATGAACATAATATCTTATGCAAATCAGTAACAGGGTTTCATGGCCCAGGAAAACTTTCTGAAAAGTAAAATGACTCTAAAATAGATCTCCTCTCCAACATTAAGTGTAGCAGAATTAACGACAACCAAAAAAGATTTACATGTAGATCTAGTGATAATAGAAAATTACAAGGCAGAGAGCTTAAAAGAATCAAGACCATGCTATAGATTCTACAGTATTCTATGAAGCTAGAAAACCTGTTAAATTTGAAAGCCCTAGCAAAATATCACTCTTGTTTATAAATCACTTATTTATCGTATGACCACATGTTGAATCCTTGTCTTTCCTCATACTGAAGAATTCTACATTCAGCCTTTAAGCATTCTGCATTTCTTTGCCAATCTGGTAGATGAGTATCTTGTTCCAGTCGATTTTCCTGCGGGTAACTGGAAGCTGCCGGCGCAAGGCCTGGAATGTGGTATCTGACATTGTTTGATAGTTTTCACTGGTTGCTGTCTGATGGTCATTTTCTGCATTCCCTATGATTTTAATAAACTCCTTGGCAGTTTGGACTTCATTCGAAACAGTTAGTGAATCCTGTACATCTTTATGACTAACCGACTGAACATTGCCATATTCATAATAGTGAATCTTAAGCACTCCAGCCACCTGGGCTGTAGGAGGTATGATGATGACCTTCCACTCCAATGACCACTTCAGAATTTTTAAGGATGAAACTGGTGGCTTTCAATGCATGCAGGAATAGTCTGTTGCCCATCTATAGTTTTAACATAAACAGTACAGAAGCCGCTGGAATAATGATCTTTCACATAGGCTTTTAAAGCAGGGTCACAGGATTCTCTCCAAGACTTCAGACCTCCATCTACTTCCTGTGGCTGGGGGTCACTTGCTTTTTTCCATACGTGATCAAATTTAAAGGAAATTTTGTTTCTTGGATCTAGAAATCTGCTATTACCTAGGTTAGAGTGCTCTGCAATTAAGACCTGATCTTCATATCCTTCTCTGTCTTCACAGACGTGAACTGATCCATGTTATGCTGGGCAAATGCATGTGCTGCCCCTTCGCTGAGGAGAGTGTCATTATTAAGTATTAAACATCATTGAATACTCATTAAATTCCCATGGGGGAGCATGAGTGATGAATTTAGCAGCTATACACACCTTCTTCTCATCCAACACTCAGTCCTCAATGTCGGCCATCTTGGGCTGCTCTCTGCATTTTTCTTATTATGAGGATGAGCGTCTTTGGGGGCCATTTATATTTTCCTTTTCTACCTTTTGTCTGTTCATGAGGCTTGCCCATTTTTCTACTGGGCTGCTGGTCTTTTATCTAATTCTAGAGCATCTTTTATGGCATTTGAATCTTGAATCGTGGTTAGGAAGGCTTTCCCTGAAACTCAGGTTAGAAAGGAATTCTTTCATGTTTCCTTTGAATGCTCTTTATTATTATTTTTTACATTTAAATAATTGATTCCTCTCTGGTTTATCCTGATGTACAGTGTGAAGCATGAATCTACTTTATTTTTTTCAGATGGCTACCTAGTTGTCACAACAGTTTGCTGAATTGTTCACCTTTTCTCCAACCAATTTAAGATGACATCTTCATCATATCCCAAACTTCAATATTTATTTGTTTTTACTTATGGATATTCTATTCTGTTAATTGGTCTGTATTTCTAGTTATGTGACACTACCCTTTGCTTTTAATTATCAAAGCTTTAAAATGTTTTTCATCCTTTGTTTTCTCCCCTTTATTCTCAATGTAGTGTATTAGGTTAATGAATAACACAGTAATGTAATAATAATTATTATTAACACAAGAGCAATAATAGAATGACGTTCTTGGTCAGGTGCTTGTCATTTATTTTTTAATTTTTTTTTTAAGTTTTTTTTTTTTTTTTTTTTGAGGCGGAGTCTCGCTCTGTCGCCCAGGCTGGAGTGCAGTGGTGTGATTTCGGCTCACTGCAAGCTCTGCCTCCCGGGTTCACGCCATTCTCCTGCCTCAGCTTCCGGAGTAGTTGGGACTACAGGTGCCCGCCACCTCGCCTGGCTAATTTTTTGTGTTTTTAGTAGAGACGGGGTTTCACCGTGTTAGCCAGGATGGTCTCCATTTCCTGACCTAGTGATCCGTCCGCCTCGGCCTCCCAAAGTGCTGGGATTACAGGCTTGAGCCACCATGCCCGGCCTTATTTTTAAATTTTTTTTATTTCCAACTTTTATTTTAAGTTCAGGGGCACATGTGCAGGATGTGCAGGTTTGTTACATAGGTAAACATGTGTTACATAGGTAAACACGGTGGTCTGCTGCACAGATCATCCCATCACCCAGGTATGAAGCCCAACATCAACTAGCTATTCTTCCTGATCCTCTCCCTCCTCCCACCTCCCACCCTCCAACACACCCCAGTGTGTGTTGTTCCCCCTGTCATGTGTCCATGTGTTCTCATCATTTAGCACCTACGTATAAGTGAAAACACACTTTAAAACGTTTTAATGTCTGTCGTTTTACAGTTTAAATGTCTGTAAAACTACAGACATTAAAACGTTCTTCTTTTTCAGGATTTCCTGGTCATTTATGCTTATTTGTTTCTTATATAAACTTAAAATGAGCTTGTCTAATGAAAAAAACGTCTGTGTTGATATTTTCATTGGTATTATGTTCAATTGACAAATCACTACATCATACAGGGTAGCGATAAAGCTCAGAAACATAGGCAATTACCCATAGTAATGATTTGTTGGCATTACATTATAATGCATGATATTAATATAGTTTGGGGGCTTGTCCCCTCCAATTCTTGGGTTGAAATATAATCCCCAGTGTTGGAAGTGAGCCTGGTGGGTGGTGTTTGGGTCATGGGGGCGTATCCCTCATGAATGGCTTGGTGCCCTCCCTATGGTAATGAATGGATTCTCCCTTGGTAGTTCACACCATAGCTGGTTGTTAAGAAGAGCGGAACCTCCACTGTCTGTCTTGCTGCTTCTCTCACTAGGTGATGCATCTGCTCCCCCTTCACCTTCAACCATGATTGTAAGTGTCAGGCCTCTGAGCCCAAGCCAAGCCATCGCATCCCCTGTGACTTGCACGTATACATCCAGATGGCCTAAAGTAACTGAAGATCCACAAAAGAAGTAAAAACAGCCTTAACTGATGACATTCCACCATTGTGATTTGTTCCTGCCCCACCCTAACTGATCAATGTACCTCGTAATCTCCCCCACCCTTAAGAAGGTGCTTTGTAATCTCCCCCACCCTTAAGAAGGTTCTTTGTAATTCTTCCCACCCTTGAGAATGTACTTTGTCAGATCCACCCTGCCCGCAAAACATTGCTCTTAACTTCACCACCTAACCCAAAACCTGTAAGAACTAATGATAATCCATCTCCCTTCGCTGACTCTCTTTTCGGACTCAGCCCACCTGCACCCAGGTGAAATAAACAGCTTTATTGCTCACACAAAGCCTGTTTGGTGGTCTCTTCACACAGACGCGCATGAAAGTAAGCTTCCTGAGGCTCTCACCAGAAGCCAAACAGATGTGGATGCCATGCTTGTACAGCCTGCAGAACCGTGAGCCAATAAACCTTTTTTCTTTATAAATTGCCCATACTCCAGGCATTCCTTTCTAGCAATGCGAATGGGCTAACACAGATATGTTCAATGTTTATTTCTCCTTGGTATTGTGTAGTTCAATGTCCTATGCAGAAATTACAATAACACAGTGTGTTAATGTGGCATTTCCTGCAATCCTTACACAATAATCTGTGATGCATTGCCTCAGGTGTTTTATGTCTGATTTTCACCAAATAAACCTATTCCTTTAATATACCTGAGCAAAGGTAATCAAGGTGGTTCAATCTGCTATATATAGTAATATTATATGTATATACCATATAAAATATTTTTTTCAAATTGATACTTTCTGAAAAACTAGAAAAGACCAAGATACTGCCACAGATCAGAAGAGACTAAGGAGCTAAGGACAACCAATATGCAGCAGAGAACCCTGGACTGGACTGCAAAACAGGAAAAGAACTTTTTAAAAAAAATGGTGAAATCCAAATAAAGTCTGGGATTTTGTTCAAAGTAAGGTACCAATGTTGGTTTCTTAATTTTTGATAAATATGCTACTGTGATGTAAGATGATGGCATTAAGAGAAACTGAAACTGGATAAGGAGTATAAGACAGTTCTCTGTACCCTTTGCTACTTTTCTGTGAATCTGAAATTATTCCAAAATAAAAAGTTTATTTTTAAAGAAACGATGTTGCTAGATGTTCTGAACACCTTGTATTGTAATGCTGTGTTTATCTTCCTCACTAGACTGTGAATACCACCAGAGCATGGACCATTCAGTACTACCCCTGGGCCCATCAGTAGTTAGTTATTGTGGATAACCTTAAGATGATGAAGACAAGCCAACAAGACATTGAGAGGTTCTGAAAAAGCACCACCTTGGTGTCTTCCCTACTTTACATTACAAACCATTCAATTTAATAAAACCAAATGTGTTGCTAGTAAACATTTGTATTTTCTGTATCTTCCATCCAGGCAGATTCAGAGAAAAAAATATATTTAGGAAACCTGCCCTAAAAAGCCGACAACCACCTCTTTTCTCCACCTGTTGGCCTTCTCTATTCATTTAAAAAAATACTCTTTCTCCTTGTCCCAAAGTTTTTCTCACAGCAGTTTTGGAGAAGTGGAATGAACAGTAGGCTTGGAGTTGGGAACTGGGTTCTCATCTGGACTCTCACTTTCTGGCTGTGTAACCTTGGGTAAGTTACCTAATCTCTCTAAGCCTGTTTTTCCACCTTCCTAACAGGACTAAATGAGAATGCACTAAGTCTAAGATACTAGGCTGCTTTCTGCGCTTTGTGAGTGTGTGATTTTTTTTTTTTCTGGCAATCTTGCTCTTTCTCAAGGGTTCCTGGGTGAATGGCACCGCTCCCTACCCACTTACCCAAACCAGAACCTGAGTCATTTGTGACACCTTCGTCTCTTTAACACTGCCTTCCTACATGTCAAAATTGTCATTAAGTCCTATAGATTCTATTTCCTAAATATTTATCTGAGTCACCTTCCCATCTTGATCCCCATGGTCACTGGCTGAGTTTCTCCACAGACAATTGTTAACAGCCTCTAAACTAGTCTCTTTGCCTTCAGATTTGTTCCTTATTTTTCATACCACTGCCTAATTGATCTTTTAAATCCAAATCTGGCTCGGTTACTCCCTAACATAAAATTTTCCTGTGGATTCTCATAGCCTTTAGGGTAAATCCAAAATGTCTAGTGTGACATTGTGATCCAGGCTGCGAGTATCCATCTGTTGCTTTCCTTTCCAGTCCCTGCTATATTCTTATGCTTTAGCTGTTTTCAATTATTTGCAGTTGCCGGAAATCACTGTGCATTCTCTCACAATTATGCTACCCCTTCTGTCTGAAAGATCTCCCTTCACCCATTTTTTACAATTTGCTAAGCTAGTGGTCAGTTCCCGTTTCTCATTTTATTTGACCTATTGGCAGCGTTTGACTCACTTAATTGCTCCCTCTTTGATTTTTCTTCACTCTGTGTGGGGAAAAGAAAGAGAGATCAGATTGTTACTGTGTCTGTGTAGAAAGAACTAGACATAAGAGACTCCATTTTGTTCTGTACTAAGAAAAATTCTTCTGCCTTGAGATGCTGTTAATCTGTCACCCTACCCCCAACCCTGTGCTCCCTGAAACATGTGCTGTGTCAACTCAGGGTTAAATGATTAAGGGCTGTGCAGGATGTGCTTTGTTAAACAGATGCTTGAAGGCAGCATGCTCTTTAAGAGTCATCACCACTCCCTAATCTCAAGTACCCAGAGACACAAAACACTGCGGAAGGCCGCAGGGACCTCTGCCTAGGAAAGCCAGGTATTGTCCAAGGTTTCTCCCCATGTGATAGTCTGAAATATGGCCTCGTGGGAAGGGAAAGACCTGACTGTCCCCCAGCCCGACACCCGTAAAGGGTCTGTGCTGAGGAGGATTAGTAAAAGAGGAAGGAATGCCTCTTTGCAGTTGAGATAAGAGGAAGGCATCTGTCTCCTGCTCGTCCCTGGGCAATGGAATGTCTCAGTGTAAAGCCCGATTGTATATTCCATCTACTGAGATGGGGAAAACTGCCTTAGGGCTGGAGGTGGGACATACTGGTAGCAATACTGCTCTTTAAGGCATTGAGATGTTTATGTATATGCACATCAAAAGCACAGCACTTTTTTCTTTACCTTGTTTATGATGCAGAGACATTTGTTCATGTGTTTACCTGCTGACCTTCTCTCCACTATTATCCTATTGTCCTGCCACATCCCTCTCTCCGGGAAATGCCCGATAATGATCAATAAATACTAAGGGAACTCAGAGGCTGGTGCCAGCGCGGGTCCTCCGTATGCTGAACGCCGGTACCCTGGGCCCATTTTTCTTTCTCTATACTTTGTCTCTGTGTCTCTTTCTTTTCCAAGTCCCTCGTTCCACCTAACGAGAAATGCCCACAGGTGTGGAGGGGCAACCCATCCCTTCAAGTCAGCTTTCAGAATACCAAACATTCCTAGTTTTCCTTCTATTCCACATCAGTTGCTCTTTCTTATTCTGCTGATCCCTTCCCTCCTTCCCAATCTACTGATACTGAAATGCCCCAGGGCTTACTCCTTGAATCGCCTTTTACTACTCTAACTAGAACAATCATTTGCTTGGTGCTCTCATTCAGTCTCAGGCTTTAGATACCATCCATACGACAATGACTCCCAAATGCATTACTCCAGAACAGACGTATCCCTTGAACTCCAGGTTTATATATTCAACTTCCTACTCATCTTTTCTTGAATGTCAAATAGACATCTCAAAGTGCTGGGATTACAGGCGTGAGCTACCAGGCCCGACATCTCAAATTTAGTGTGGTCAAAATTAAATTCCTGATCTATCCCCTCCAAAACGACTCTGTCCACAGTGTTCCCATCTAAGTTGATGGAAACTCTATTCTTCCAGTAATTAAAGCCAAAATCCTTGGAGTCATTCTTAACTCCTCTCTTTCTTTCCCACGCATTTGCAAACTCTTAGGGAGTCCGACTGGTTCTAACCTCAAAATATATCCAGAAGGCTACCATTTTTCATGACCTCTGCTGATATCACCTTGGTTTGAACCAATGTCATCTCTCACTTACATTACTGCAAAAGCCTCTTAAGTGGTTTTCCTGATTCTGTGCTTGTTTCTTTCCCCAAAGCCTGTCTTCAACACAGCAGTCGGAGCGATAAGATATGACATCATATTATATTAAAACATTAGCTAATACAGCATTTCTCTTATCAAAATCCTGCATGACCCCTCACCCATAGACAGAGTAAAGCACACAATTATTATATATCTTTAAATTTTTTTTTCTTTCCAACTTTTATTTTAGGTTCAAGGGGTATATATGCACGTTTGTTACATGGATATATTGCATAATGCTGAGGTTTGGGTTTCTCTTGAACCCATCACTCATATTGTGAACATATTGCACAATTGGTAGTTTTTCAACCCTTGCCCCACTTCCTCCCTACCCCCTTTTTGGAGTCCCCACTGTCTATTGTTTTCATCTTTGTGTACATGTCTACCCATTGTTTAGCTCCCACTTATAAATGAGAACATGCAGTATTTGATTTTCTGTTGTTGCGTTAATTCACTTAGGATAATGGCCTTCGGAGGCATTCATGTTGCTGCAAAGGACATAATCTCATTACTTTTATGGCCGCATAGTATTCCGTGATGTATATGTATCACATTTTCTTTATCTAATCCACCATTGATAGGCACCTAGTTTGATTCCATGACTTTGCTATTGTCAATAGTGCTGCGATGAGCATACAAGTGTAGGTGTCTTTTCATGTAATGATTTCTTCTTTTGCTTTGGGTAGATGTCCAGGAATGGGATTGCTGGGTCTAATGGTAGTTCTACTCTTAGTTCTTTGAGGAATCTCCAAACTGCTTTTCACAGTGGCTGAACTAACTTAAATTCCCACCAATGATCTATGAGCATTTCCTTTTCTCCTCAGCCTTGCCAGCATCTGTTATTTTTAGTCTTTTTAATAAGAGCCATTCTGACTTATGCGAGATGTCATCTCATTGTGGTTTTGGTTTGCATTTCTCTGATGATTAGTGATGCTGAGCATTTTTTTCATATTTTTTTTGGCCACTTGTTTGCTTTTTTGAAAAGTGTCTGTTCATGTCCTTTGCCCACATTGTAATGGGACTGTTTTTTTCTCACTGCTTTGTTTAAGTTCCTTATGGATTCTGGATATTAGTCCTTTGTCAGATGCACAGATTGCAAATATTTTCTTCCATTCTGTAGGTTTTCTGTTTATTCTGTTGATGGTTTTGCTACGCAGAGGCTCTTTGACTTAATTAGGTTCCACTTGTCAATTTTTGTTTTTGTTGCATTTGCTTCTGAGGTCTTAGTCATGAGTTCTTTACCCAGACCAATGTCCAGAAGAATTTTCCTAGGTTTTCTTCTAATATTTTTATAGTTTGAGGTCTTACATTTAAATGTTAAATCCGTCTAGACTTAATTTTTGTATATAGTGAGAGGTAGGGGTCCAGGTTCATTCTTCTGCATGTAGCTAGCTAGCTATCCCAGCACCACTATTTGAATAGGGTGTCCTTTCCCCATGGTTTATTTTTGTCAACTTTGTCAAAGATCAGTTGGGTGTAGGTGTGTGGCTTTGTTTTGGGGTTCTGTATTCTGTTCCATTGTTCTATGTGTCCATTTTTGCACCAATACCATGCTGCTTTGGTTACTGTAGCCTTGTAGGATAGTTTCAAGTCTGGTAATGTGATGCCTCCAGCTTTATTCTTTCAGAATCGGTTTGGCTATTCTGGCTCTTTCTCTGGTTCCATATACATTGTAGAATAGGTTTTTTTCTAATTCTGTGGAGAATGACATTGGTAACTTGATAGGAATTGTGTTGAATCTATAGATTGCTTTGGGTGGTGTGGCCGTTTTAATGATATTGATTCCTCCAAACAGTTTTTCCATTTGTTTGCATTGTCTGTGATTTCTTTTATCCGTGTTTTTTAGTTCTCTTTGTACAGACCTCTCACCTCCTTCATTAGATGTATTTCTAGGTGTTTGGTTTTTCATGGCTGTTGTAAATGAAATTGCCTTCTTCATCAGCATACTTTTCCTCTTAGCTCTGTAACCTCACCTCCTGTTCTATCCCTCATTCACTCGGCTCCAGCGTTAATGACCTTGCTGTTTCTCCAACATGTCAACCGCATGTCTGCTTTAGGGCCTTTCTTTAATTCTTTGCCCTTCCTGGAGCACTATTCCCCAGATATTCATTTGGCTAGTTTCCTCACCTACTTCCAGTCTCTACTCAACTTCCACCATCTCAAGGAGGTCAACCATGATCACCGTATTTAATACCGCAGCCTGACTACCTTTTCCCAAGTATTCTCTATCTCTACTAAACTTTTTCTTTTTTCTTTCATAGCACCTATCACCTTACAACATACAATATATATTTTACTTATGTAAGTTATTTTTTACTGTGTATCTCCCTCTGCTAAAATATAATCCTCAACCAACAAGAGCAGGGATCTTGGTCTGTTGCGTTCAGTGATATGTCACAAGCGCCTAGAAAAAGTACCTGGTACATGGTAGGGATTTAGGAAGTACTTGTTGACTTTAAATGTCTAGCTTGGTGTGATCCTTCCAGATGTTTTTCTATGAATTTATATATGTATACGCAAACCTAGAAAAAATAATAATAGCAATGGGGTGAGTTTTTATATCTCATACATGAACTTCAAGACAACTCAGGTGTTGCCTCCTACCAACCTGCTCCTAAAATTCCTCTCACTCACAACACCTAGTGCACTGTATTGTAGTTGTCTAATTACTTCTCTGTCTCCCTTACTAGACTGTGGGCTCCTTGAGGGCAGGAACCATGGTTTTTCCATCTCTATATCTCCAGGAATGGCTCATAGTGGCATATCATACACGTTGAATGGATACATTTATGAATAAATGACTCCTTGCCTGGAAGAAGGGTAATTCCACTTCCTTGATATTGTGGTCCTCTATTTTAGAGCTGTGTCTTACTCTAAGCAAGCTCAATATATAAGATATATTAAAACTCAGCTTTACTCAAAAGATGTAATTGTTTGCTTTGAAACTGTAAAGTAGTTAATTTACAAAATTCTTCACGGGAGGATTCTTTTTTTCTAAATAGCAATGGCCTTTAGTGCAGAAGAACAGAAGGTTGCCATAATAAGACCAAACCATCCTCCCTTCATCCCAAGATTGGTGCTTGGCAGAGGCATGAATGTTAGCATGTCTGAAGGTAAGTTTGTCTGCCTGATGTCATCCTCAAAATGCTAGAAATGCAGGCAACCCCTACCTCAACATCCCAGTTTCTGGTAATAACATGTTATGAAGAAGGGGAAGGTAACTAAAATTTACTTAGATTCTATTATGTACTAGATATGTTCCACATGTTAGTCTTATTTAATCCTGAAAAATAACTCTTGGAGGAAGACAATGCTGTTGCTATCTTATCAATGAGGTTGCTAAGCTCAGAGTGGTACATTGCCTATGATCACACAGAACCAAATAAAGGCAAACTATAGACTTAATATTAAGTGTGTTTGTCCCAGTCAATTCCTATATTTCAGACTCACTATTCAAACAGTGTTGTCAAGCTTGAGGTATGACCTAAAGCAGCACAGTGTTGAGAGTCCTGTTCTAGACATAGATTGGTCAGTAAGATAGGAACATAAATGTAGGCCGAAGATTTTCACCGGGATGGGTGGATTGGAAGGAAGTTATTGGTGAGAAATATTCAGTATGCTGGCAGAGTGGGAAAGAAAGGTTGTGAGGGTAAAGTTGTAACCCAAGAAGCAGAGGTGGGAGACAGGAAATGTAGCAGCCGCCTCAGAGGCAGCTGTCATGATGGTACTTAAAGAAGATTGCTGCCAAGTGTTATTTATGAATTGTGGCTTAGGGTTTCCCAGTGCCGTCCTGGGTTTTGTGATGTTCTAAAAGACAGCAGTAAGGGAGGTGCGGGGCATGGATTGTTCCTCCTGTAGTCCTGGATTTTTTTTTCTGTTTCCCTTTTGGAAGATTTTTAATTTCTAAAAAATTTTGTAGAGACAGCGTTTTGCTATGTTGTCCAGGCTGGTCTCAAACCCCTGGCCTCAAGTGATCCTCCCGCCTCAGCATCCCAAGTACATGGGATTACAGGCATGAACTACTGCATCAGGCCTTGGAAAATGTTATTGTAGTAAAATATATGTAGCATAGAATTTGCAATCTTAACCCTTTTTAAGTGTACAATTCAGTGGCATTAATTACATTGGCAACATTGTGACACCATCACCACTACTTCCAAACGTTAAATGGAAACTCTGTACCCATTGGTCAATAACCCTCCATTCCCTCCTCCCTTTAGCCCCTGATAACCTCTAATCTACTTGATGTCTCTATGAATTTTCCTATTCTAGGTATTTCATATAAGTGGAACCATACAATATTTTTCCTTTTGTGTCTGGCTTATTTCACTTAGTAAGTTTTTCAGGTTCATCCATGTTGTAGCACATATCAGAACTTCATTTCTTTCCACAGCTGAATAATATTCCATTGCATACACATGCTGTATTTCATTTGTCCATTAAACTGCTGATGGACCCTTTGGTTGTTTCCAACTCTTGGCTATAGTGCATACTGTTGCAATGAACATTAGCATGAAACTGACTGTCTCAGATTCTATTTTCAATTATTTTGGGTATATTTCCCTAGGAGTGGAATTGCTAGGTCATAAGGCATCCTATGTTTAACTCTTAAAATTTATTTCTAATTGATATAATAGCCATGTATGTTTATGTGGTACAATATAACGTTTTGATCTTTGTATACATTATGAAAAGAGCTCTTTGAGGGACCGCAAGCTTTTCCACAGAGGTGCACCATTTTACATTCCCATCTGCAATGTGCAAGAATTTCAACTTCTTTACATCCTTACCAATGCTTCTTATTTGCTTCAAGAAAAGTTTTTTTTTTAATTATAGATGTGTATGTAAAGTGTTAATGGTGGTATCTCATTGTAGTTTCCATTTGCATTTCTCTGATGACTAATGATATTGAGCATCATCTCATGGGCTTAGTGGGAGAAATGTCTCTTAAGTCATTTGCTCATTTAAAAAATTAATTAGGTTGCTTTTCTTTTTTGTGTTGAGCTATAGGAATTCTTTACATATTCTGAATAGTAAACCATTGTCAGATACGTAATTTGCAACTATTTTCTATCATTCTATAGAATGTTTTCTTTTTTTACTTTATACTGTTCTTTATGCATGAGCATTTTCAATTTTGATGAAATCTAATTGATCTATCATTTTTCTTTTGTTGCTCATGATTTTGGTGTCATATCTAAGAATCCATTGCCTAATCCAAGGGTATAAAAGTTTACCGCTGTGTTTTCTTTAAAGAGTTTTTTGTTATTAGCATTTGTATTTAAGTCATTGACTGATTTTGGGTAATTTTTTTGTATACAGGATGAAGTAGAGGCCCAAATTCATTCTTTTCAATGTAATTCTGGCTTCGTAGAATGATTCAAGAAGTATGTGATCCTGTTTACATACTTCTATATAATTCCATATGGTTTCATATAGGGATTCATTAGTGAAACCATCTATGATTGAGGTTTTCTTTCTTTCTTAAGAAAGTGTTTAATTGCCAATTAAATTTCTTTACTAGATAAAGGGTTATTCAGATGATCTCCTTCTGGGATGAGCCTTGGTAGTTTGTGACTTTTAAGGAATTGCCCCATTTCATCTCAGTTATTGAATCCGTTGACATAAAATTGTTCAAATTTCTCCATTTTAATAAACATAGGATCTATAGGGATGCCATCTCTCTTTTTTCCTAGTATTGGTAGTTTGTCTCTTCAGTCTTTTTTTTTTTTTTTTCTTGATCCATCTGGCTAGAGGTTTATAAACTTTATCGCTCTTCTGAAAGAACCAGATTTGGGGTTCATTGATTTTCTTTATTGTTTTTCTGCTTTGTATTACGTTGACTTCTTTGTTTTTATTTTATCAGGGAAAGTGCGAACTCAGTCCCCCATGTACACAAATTATGCAGTCGAGTCTCCCCTGTTTGTGGAAATATCGGGTGTCAGCACACTCAGGGTGCAATAGATGAGCCTCAATCTAGGAAAACCACCTTTGTGCTCATGGTATCTCCCCTGACAGGTGAGGATGTATTATTTCTACTCTGACACTTACCATTACCTTTGTTCTGTTTAATTTAATTTGTTTTCCTTTTTCTCATTTATTAACATGTTTTCTGAGCTCATTGACTTGAGACCTTTCTTCATAGAGGTGTTTTTACTGCTACGAAATTTCCCGAGTCATTTTTTTTTTTTAACCAGCCTCTCACAAATTTTGATATGTTGTGTTTTCCTTTTCAGTCAGTTCAAAACACTTTCTAATTTTCATTATGATTTCTTATTTGATTCATAGGGTAATTGAAAGCACATTATTTGGTTCCCAAATATTTGTAGATTTTCTGAATAACGCTCTCGTTAATTTCTAACTTAATTTTATTGTATGTGGTTGAAGAACACACTTTGTGTTACTGGAATTGTCTAAAATGTACTGAGACTTGTTTTATGGCACGGAATACAGTCTCTCTTGGTAAATGTTCCACATACACTTGAAAATAATGCATAGTCTTCTGTTGTGGGGTGGAGGGTTCTACATGTGACAATTAGGTCAAGTTGGTAATAGTGATGCTCGAGTCTTCTATATTGTCATTGACTTTCTGTCTGCTTGTTTCACCAGCAATATATTGAGGGGCATTGAAATCTTTGTCGAGAATTGTTGATGCAGCTATTTCTCTGTGTAGGTCTATTCATTTTTGCTTCATGCATCTTGAAGCTCTGTTTTTAGGTGCACAAACACAGAATTGTTATCTACTCATCATAAATTCACTGAGTTGTCATTATGACATGGTCTTCTTTATCAATGGTAATATTCTTTGTTCTGAAGTCTACTGTGTCTGATATCAATGTAACAACTACGTCTTTATTGTGATTAGTCTTAGCTTGGTATACTGCCCCCACCTTTATGTTTACGCTATGTTGTGTCTTTATATTTAAAGTGGGTTTATTATAGGCAATATAGAGTTGAGTCTTGCTTTCTTATCCAGTCTGGTGGTTTTTGTCTCTTAATTGGCATGTTGGGACCATTTATATTCAATGTAATTATTGATATGGTTAGGTTTAAATTTACCATCTTGTGTTATGTTTTCTATTGGCTTCATGAATTTGCTCCCCTTTCCTTCTTTTTGGCCTTCATTTTTGAAAGACATTTTCACTGGGCATAGCATTCTAGGTTAGCAGTATTTTTCATTTAGTACTTCAAAAATGTTGCTCCAGTGTCTTCTCACTTGCATTTTTTTCTGATGAGAAATCTGCTGTCATCCTCATTTCAGTCCCTTTGTATGCAACGTGTGGCCTCTCCATCTTTCCTGACTGCTCTTCAGGTTTTTTTCTTCCTCTCTGGTTTTGTAAAATGTTATTGTGATGTGCCTTAGTGTAGCTTTCTCTACGTTTCTTGTGCCTGGTGTGTGTTCAGCTTCTTGGATGTGTGGGCTAAAAGTTTTTATCAATTATGGGTAGATTTCAGCAGCTATTTATTCAAATATATTTTTTCTGTCCCTCCCTCCTTTATTTTCTCTCTTTCAGGGCCAACAATTGCACATATATTTGGCTGTGTGACATTGTCCTATAGTTCTCTGTTGCTCTGTTCATTTTTCTTACATTTTTTTCTTTGTACAGCTTATATTCCCATGTCTTTAAGTTCACTAATCTTTTTTCCTGCAATGTCTCATACACTGTTAATCCCATCCAGTGCATTTTCCATCATAGATATAGTAGTGCCCATCTCCAGAAGTTTGATTTGCATTTTTTCTGTATCTTCCATGTCTTGACTTGACTTTGAGCATATGAACTACAGTTATTATAACTTTTAATATTCTTCTCTTCTAATTTAAGCATCTTTGTCAATTCTGGGTCATTTTCAGTTGACTGATTTTTCTCCTTGTTATTGTCATGTTTTCTTGGTTCTTCATTTGTTTGCTAGGTTTTAACTGGATGCCAAGACATGATGAGTTTTAGCTTGTTGAGTGCCGAATATTTTTGTAATCTCATAATTTTTCCTGAGCTTTGTTCTGGGATGCAGTTAAGTCGCTTGTAGTTTCATACTTTGGGGTCTTGCTTTTAAGCTTTGTTAGATGATACCAAAGCTGTGTTTAGTCTAGGACCCATTACTCTCCACTAGTTAGGTAAATCTCTTTTCAGCACTTTGTATATTGCTCAGAGAATTGAGAGACTTTCCAGTCTGATAGTTGAGAATAGGCATTATTGCTAGTCTTGTGAAAGTACCAGGTACTGTTCCCTCTAATTCTTTTGCATGGCTCTTTCTTATCCGGGGCAGTTTTCTTACATGCTTATGTTGATCAGTACTATGAGAGGCTTTAAGTAGCAATGAATCAGGTGTCTATTTCTCGAGATCATCATCATATTAGCTAACTTTTATTAAACACTTTTTATACAGAACATAATCTGTAGTTAGACTGGGGTTAATCCCTTCTGTTCCTTCTGTTGTCGGACGAGCTGTTGATGAGCAGGCCTGTGCTAAGCATGCTAGTTTATTTAATATATTAATCCAATGAAGAGAGTGCTGTTATTATTATTCTCATTTACAGATAAGGAAACTGAGGTACAGAGAGTTTAAGTAACTTGCTCAAGGACACACGCAGATAGTAAGTGGTAAACTGAAATTTGAACCTAGATGGTTTGACTTCAGAGATTGAATTTAACTTGTAAATCATCATGTGCTAGGATGATCGGAAATACAATCAGGATGCAAGCTGATGATAAGCCTGCCATTTCATATCTCCCCCACAGCAGCCAATCAGCCTCTAATACACGAACAAGTCCCTCCCTCTAAGCTAAGGGCAAGGAAGTGGGGGTGGCAGATGGGAGGAAGGAAAGAGAAGGTATGTATAATTATTGTGTTGTCACAAATTGCCATTATCCTGTTTGTCCCCAGAGCCCCTTAGCCTCCCAGTTTTGAGGTGGTACCCAATTCTTTGGAACAAATATGGGAGCCTGGTGCCAATGTTGCTGCCCTGCCAGTAAGGGTGCTGACAAGGTCTCTTGTGCAAGAAGCAAAGACCTCCAAGGGATAGTAACAGCTTTGTCTGGGGCCACCAGTACTGGCCTTACACATTTGGGGATGGAGTTTAGGGCCTGTTTTCTCTTGTTCCATGTATCTCATTTAATGAAAAACAGCTTCCTTTTCCATCTCTGTATCCACATGCTGCAGTGGACTATAATGCCTAAGAAGTTCCTCTCCTCAGCTATCACATGTCCCAGAAAATGTGCTCACATTCTGCTCTCCCTTCCCACATCCAGCCAGACACTTCCCCTCTGAGGTCTGTCTTCTGATTTGATTTATTTTCTCGTAAGTATTCTATACTTTCTCCCCAACCAGGTAAAAAGCCTTTCTAATCCTCTCGAGGTTACATCTTCCTTGTTCCCTTCGTGGAATGACAAATTGGCTCTTGCAAACATTTAACTGGAGCACTCTGGCAAATGCTCTTGTTCTTGATTCCAGACATCCTCCAAATGAGAATGATCTATGTATATGGTGCCTTCCTAAGATATATCAGGAACAGTATGGCAATAGGAACACAAGATAGAGTTTGTGCCTCCGTGTCTGTGAAATACTGCCCTAGGAACTGTCTGCTTCTTTTGCAGAGAACACTATCACAATTTTTCACTGACACTTACTCCTGAACCCTGAGCATTGGCCACTGCTACTTCCACCTGCCTCTAATCAGTAGGCTGCCAGCACCTTCCAGAACATTGGTGTACCAGCACAGACCAATTTTAATCAGAGTCTCCTCTGTTTGGTATCTTTAGACCAGCAGATGCCACCAAGCCTCATTTCTCTGTCAATCTCAATACTGCCCCAAATGCAGGAACTTCTGGCTATTATTTTCTTGTTTCCTCTCTATGTCTGACTCTGCCCAACTCTTTTCTTGAATGCACTCTGGCTTTTTGTTTCATACTTTAAATAAATCTCCCCTATATCCTCCCACTTTGTTTTCAGTGTTCACTCCAGCTCCTTTTCTTAATTGTAGCAATACAAGAGAACTAGGTATCATTCCTTATTTTTACCTAGTTCACCTAAAGACACCACTGCCCCACAGCATTTTTCACTAGATGATTCTCTTATTGTCATACCCCAAACACCATATAGACCTGGGGGCAGAGACCTCATTGTCTTCATTCCCTGGATTAATACAACATAGCAGTTAAGAGCTCCAGCTCTACAGTAGCAGCTCAGCTTCCAGTTCGAATCCTGGTGTTTCTTCCACTTACTAGCTGTGTGACCTTGGGCAAGTGAATTCACCTTTCTAAGCCTGTTTTCTTATTTATAAATAAAGATAATAAGCCCTTTCTACTATGATTGTTGTGAGGATCAAGCTTAAATGATGTAACAGGGCTGGGCGTGGTGGCTCAGGCTTGTAATCCCAGCACTTTGGGAAGCTGAGGCACGAGGATCATTTGAGCACAGGAGTTCAAGACCGTCCTGGGCAACACAGCAAGACCCCGTCTCTACTAAAAATAAAAAAATAGCTGGGCATGGTGACGCGTGCCCGCAGTCCCACCTACCCAGGAGGCTGAGACACGAGGATAGCTTGAGTGCAGGAGTTTGAGGCTGCAATGAGCTATGATCATGCCACTTCACTCCAGCCTGGGTGACAGAGCAAGACCCTGTCTCAAAAAAAGAAAACAATGAGGTAACATTTAAAGTGTCTAGTATTGATCCTACCAGAGGAGAACCTCCACACAAGTATTATCATTATTGTTGTTACTTTCAGATTATGACTCCCTCACCCTCTTAGAAAAGCCCTTCCTCCTCTGAAGTTTGACTCAAGACAGCTACCGAGAGCCTAAATAGAATATAACCAGAGAACTGTAGCACGATGCAGAAGACAGAAGAGGGAATGCGGTTAGAGCTTCCAGAACATGTAACAGAAAAACATATCCAAGTTTCTCTCTTCTTGAGCACCACCATGTGGTACAACTAGACATGTAGGACCACAACTTTGGGAAGAGGCTGGCGTTGGAGGAAGCGACTTGGAAGGCTTCTGCTGAAAAGTAGTAAGAGAAGCCATGAGCGTGGATGAGACAAACAAGGGAGGAAGAGTAGGAAGAAAACAGGGCAATGGCAGAAAATTGGAGTAATAGGCGTCTAGACTGCCTTCAAAATAAAATGTCACCTTAACAGACATCTGGTGACTATGGATCCCATAGGAAATAAGACAGTGTGTAAAGATAAGTGAGCATGTGCACGGGCCAAGGAATAGAGCAGGACAACCTGAGTTACTTCTCCTTCTCTCCCTCCCTCCCCTCTTCTTTTCTCTCTCCCTCCTCATTTTCTCAATGTTCCCCTTTCTCCCCCTTTTATTCTTATTCATCCATCCATCCATCCGTCCATGGAGCCATCCATGATACATCCATTCACCACTGGAACTGGGGACAAAAAATAAATAAGCCACAGGCCCTGTTCTAACAAAGGTCACAGTCTGTGGGATGGGGTAGGGTGGAGGCAATTAAGCAGATCTTTATAATATGTCAGTGCTCACGACCCAACAATCACCAGGAGCACGCCTGTAGTCGAACAAATTTGGGTTTATTGCTTGTTGTATTAAGGGAGAATGCACCCCATGGGAAACTGCGGAGCAACTCAGCAGGAGGGCATTAGAAAGGACTTACAGGATTTGGGCAAACTTTGCATTAGATACTTCTAAGGAGCAGAGGCAATCCTATGATTGGGTATCTTAATAAATCTTATCTAGAATGAGGGAAGAATAAATGATGCCTAGGGCTGTAAGTGGTAAAGAAGCAGCAGTTACCAACAGTGTATAGGCGTTCCTTTTTCACTGCAGCCTCGCCACCATCTATCGTTTTTGGACAGTTTAGTAATAGCCATTCTGACTGGTGTGAGATGATGTCTCATGGTGGTTTTGATTTGCATTTCTCAGATGATTAGTGATGCTGAGCATGTTTTCATGTTTGTTGGCCGCTTATACATCTTCCTTTGAGAAGTGTCTGTTCATGTCCTTTGCCTGTTTTTTTTTTTTTTAAATGGGGCTATTTGTGTTTTACTTGTTGATTTGTTTAAGTTCCCTATAGATTCTGGATATTAGGCCGTTGTCACATGCATTGTTTGCTAATATCTTCTCTCATTCTGTAGGCTGTCTGTTTACTCTGGTGCTGGCTTCTTTTGCTGTGTAGAAGCTCTTCAGTTTAATTCGGTCTTGGGGTGTCAATTTTTGTTTTTGTTGCAATTAAATCTGGAGACTTAGTCAAAAATTCTTTGCCAAGGCTGATGTCCAGAAGAGTGTTTCCTAAGTTGTCCTCCAGGATTCTTATGGTTTGGGGTGTTACATTTGAATCTTTGATCCACCTTGTGTTTATTTTTGTATGTGGTGAAAAGTGGGGGGGTCCAGATTCAATTTTCTGCAAGTGGCTAGCCAGTTATCCCACCATCATTTATTGAATAGGGAGTCGAGTCCTTTCCTCATTGCATGTGTTTGCCAGCCTTGTCAAAGTTCAGATGGTTGTAGGTGTGCAGCTCTATTTCTGAGTTTTCCATTCTGTTCCATTGGTCTATGTGTCTTTTTTTTTTTTTTATCAGTATCAAGCTGTTTTGGTTCCTGTGGCTTTATAGTGTAGTTACAGAGGTAACCCCATCAGGCTAGCAGCAGTCCTATCAGCAGAAACCTTACAAGCCAGAAAAGATTGGGGGTCTAATTTCAGTGTCCTTACTGAAAAGAAGTTCCAGCCAAGAATTCCACATGCTGCCAAACAAAGCTTCATAAGTGAAGGAGAAATAAAATCCTTCTCGGACAAGCAAATGCTGAGGGAATACATTTCCACTAGGCCAGCATTACAAGAGGTTCTTAAGGGAGTGCTAAACATGGAATCAAAATAATGACACCTGCTACCACAAAAGCACCCTTAAGCACATAGCACACAGGCAGTATAAAGCAACTACGCAGTCAAGTCCACATAACAACCACCAGGCATCATGATGACAGGATCAAAATCCCGTATATGAATACTAACCTTGAATGTAAATGGGCTAAACACCCCACTGAAAAGGCACAGAGTGGCAGGCTGGACAAAAGGACAAGACCCAACCATCTGCTGCCTTCAAGAGACCCATCTCACATGCAACGACACCCACAGGCTCAAAGTAAAAGGGTGGAGGAAGATCTACCATGCAAATGGAAAACAAAAAGGAACATGAGTCCCTCTTCTTATTTCAGATAAAACAGACTTTAAACCAATAGAAATTAAGAAGGACAATGAAGGGCATTACAAACAATAACAATCCAACAGGAAGCCTTAGCTATCTTAAATATATATGCACTCAACATTGGAGAGCCCAGATGCATAAAATGAGTTCTTCTTGACCTATCAGAAGACTTAGACAACCACACAATAGTAGTGGGAGTGTTCAACACCCCACTGACAGCATTAGACAGATTACTGAGGCAGAACACTAACCAAGAAACCCTGGACTTAAACTTGACACTCGACCATTTGGACCTAATAGACATCTACGAAACACTCCACCCAACAACCACAGAATCCACATTCTTCTCATGTGCACACAGAATATATTCTAAGATCAACCACATGGTCAGTCATAAAGCAAGTCTCAATAAATTAAAAAAAATTTAAATCATACCAAGTGTACTCTTGGACCACAGTACAATAAAAATAGAAATCAGTATCAAGGAGATCTCTCAAAACTACACAGTAGCATTTTAGATGCTAGACATGATATGTTGACAAACTGCAACACAGGCAGTTAACAAAAATGAAATGATTATTAGCCCTTGCTGCAGATCTCCAAGCCAAGGGTGTCTAGGTTATAAAGCCTAGGCAATGAAAGCATGTCCCAGAATCCAGCTGGGTCTGCCTTAGAGATCCAGATGAGTTTATTTTCTTTTAATATACCGTAAACTGTTCTACTTGCCGTGTAATATTTACACAGGTGCAGCGAGATGTATTTACTCTAACATGAGCTCTCCTTTGGATAGCTAAGAGGAAACCAAGGGCTATGCAATTGTCCATGAGAACTCTAGCTAACAGATTTAGAGTAGTTTTTGGAGGGCATCCAGAGTAGAAATTGTTCCATTTGTGACTTCTTCCAGGTCCAGAGAAAAATTCTGCACCACCTCTTCTAGTCGTATTATTTCTGCTGTGCGAATTGTAGCCAGCATAGTATGCAAAAAGAGGGAGTCAGTTATCTCTTCTGGGAATTCTCCCAAGTAGTTTGTGCTCACCTCACCTTGAAGGTTTCTGGGCTTCTTCCCCATGCAAACATGGAGAGGTACTAGTTCTAAATATCTCAATTCTCTGTCAATCATCCAGATTCTCCAGGCTGATTTAGTGGCAGAAGAGGGTAAGCCTGATGTCCACTTAAGTAGTATCCAGGTGGGATACAGGCTGCATTGGGAGTATGACTATAACTTGGCCCATCATGAGTAAGCCCATTTTTCTTTTCTTTTTTGAGACAGAGTCTTGCTCTGTCACCCAGGCTGGAGTGCAGTGGCACGATCTCAGCTCACTGCAAGCTCCGCCTCCTGGGTTCACACCATTCTCCTGCCTCAGCCTCCCGAGTAGCTGGAGCTACAGGGGCCCGCCACCACGCCCGGCTAATTTTTTCTATTTTTTAGTAGAGACGGGGTTTCACCGTGTTAGCCAGGATGGTCTCAATCTCCTGACCTCGTGATCCACCTGCCTCAGCCTCCCAAAGTGCTGGGATTACAGGCGTGAGCCACCGCTCCCAGCCAGAGTAAGCCCATTTTTTGTCACTTAGGGGGGTAAATTCCTTGAGTGGAGCCAAATAGTTCCTGCAAAGCAGCTGCAGTGTCTTTGAATGGAACAAATATTTATTCCCATTCCTGAGGGTCTAGGTTTCTGTGTAACGTTGTAATGACCTCAGTAGAAGCATTTTATTGATGTGAAGTCAAAGTCTGTTTTTCTCACAAGACTAGAATTTGGAGAGGAAATTGTAAGTACCAGAAGGAGTCTGCAAAAGGAAACCTACTTTTTTTGGTCAATTTAATTTATTTATTTACTTTTTTTTTTTTTTTTTTTAACACTGAGTCTCACTGTTGCCTAGGCTGGAGTGCAGTGGTGCAATCTCTGCTCACTGCAACCTCTGTCTCCCAGATTCAAGTGATTCTCCTGTCTCAGCCTCCGGAGTAGCTGGGATTACAGGCACCCACCACCACAACTGGCTAATTTTTATATTTTTAATAGAGACGGGGTTTTGCCATCTTGGCCAGTCTGGTCTCGAACTCCTGACCTCAGGTTATCTGCCTGCCTCGGCCTCCCAAAGTGCTGGGATTACAGGTGTGAGCCACCATGCCTGGCCTTATTTATTTATCTATTTTTTATTATATTTTAAGTTCTAGGGTACATGTGCACAACGTACAGGTTTGTTACATAGGTATACATGTGCCATGTTGGTTTGCCGCACCCATCAACTCGTCATTTACATTAGATATTACTCTTAATGCTATCCCTCCCCCATCCCTCCACCCCCTGACAGGCCCTGGTGTGTGATGTTCCCTGCCCTGTGTCCACGTGTTCTCATTGTTCAACTCCCACCTGTGAGTAAGAACATGTGGTGTTTGGTTTTCTGTCTTTGTGATAGTTTGCTGAGAATGATGGTTTCCAGCTTCATCCATGTCACTGCACAGGACGTGAACTCATCCTTTTTTATGGCTGCATAGTATTCTGTGGTCTATATGTGCCACATTTTCCTAATCCAGTCTATCATTGTTGGACATTTGGGTTGGTTCCAAGTCTTTACTATTGTGAATAGTGCCACAATAAACATACGTGAACATACGTCTTTATAAGTAGCATGATTTATAATCCTTTGGGTATATACCCAGTAATGGGATCGCTGGGTCAAGATCGCTAGTTCTAGATCCTTGAGGAATCGCCACACTGTCTTCCACAATGGTTGAACTAATTTACACTCCCGCAAACAGCGTAAAAGCATTCCTATTTCTCCACATCATCTCCAGCATCTGTTGTTTCCTGACATTTTAATGACCGCCATTCTAACTGGTGTGACATGGTATCTCACTGTGGTTTTGAGTTGCATTTCTCTGACGACCAGTGATGATGAGCATTTTTTCATATGTCTGTTGGCTGCATACATGTCTTCTTTTGAGAAGTGTCTGTTCATATCTTTTGCCCACTTTTTGATGGGGTTGTTTGGTCTTTTTCTTATAAATTTGTTTAAGTTCTTTGTAGATTCTGGATGTTAGCCTTTTGTCAGATGGGTAGATTGCAAAGATTTTCTCCCATTCTTTAGGTTGCCTGTTCACTCTGATGGTAGTTTCTTTTGTTGTGCAGAAACCCTTTAGTTTAATTAGATCCCATTTGTCAATTTTGGCTTTTGTTGCCATTGCTTTTGGTGTTGTAGTCATGAAGTCTTTGCCCATGCCTATGTTCTGAAGGGTATTGCCTAGGTTTTCTTCTAGGGTTTCTATGGTGTTAGGTCTTACATTTAAGTCTTTAATCCATCTTGAGTTAATTTTTGTATAAGGTGTAAGGAAGGGATCCAGTTTCAGCTTTCTACATATGGCTAGCCAGTTTTCCCAGCACCATTTATTAAATAGGCTATCCTTTCCCCATTGCTTGTTTTTGTCAGGTTTGTAAAAGATTAGATGGTTGTAGATGTGTGATGTTGTTTCTGAGGTCTCTGTCCCGTTCCATTGGTCTGTTTATCTGTTTTGGTACCATGCTGTTTTGGTTACTGTAGCCTTGTAGTATAGTTTGAAGTCAGGTAGTGTGATGCCTCCAGCTTTGTTCTTTTTGCTTAGGATTTTCTTGGCTATGCGGGATCATTTTTCGTTCCATATGAACTTTAATGTATTTTTTTCTAATTCTGTGAAGAAAATCAGTGGTAGCTTGATGGGGATAGCATTGAATCTACAAATTACCTTGGGCAGTATGGCCATTTTCACCATATTGATTCTTCCTATCCTTGAGCATGGAATGTTCTTCCATTTCTTTGTGTCCTCTTTTATTTTGTTGAGAAGTGGTTTGTAGTTCTCCTTGAAGAGGTCCTTCACATCCTTGTGAGTTGCATTCCTAGGTATTTTGTTCTCTTTGTAGTAATTGTGAATGGGAGTTCACTCATGATTTGGCTCTCTGTTTGTCCATTAGTGGTGTATAGGAATGCCTGTGACTTTTGCACATTGATTTTGTATCCTGAGACTTTGCTGAAGTTGTTTATCAGCTTAAGGAGGTTTTGGACTGAGATGATGGGATTTTCTAAATATACAATCATGTCATCTGCAAACTGAGACAATTTGACTTTCTCTTTTCCTAACTGAATACCTTTATTTCTTTCTCTTCCCTGATTGCCCTAGCCAGAACTTCCAACATTATGTTGAATAGGAGTGGTGAGAGAGGGCATCCCTGTCTTGTGCGAGTTTTCAAAGGGAATGCTTCCAGTTTTTGCCCATTCAGTATGATACTGGCTGTGGGTTTGTCATAAATAGCTCTTACTATTTTGAGATACGTTCCATGAATACCTAGTTTATTGAGAGTTTTTAGCATGAAGGGCTGTTGAATTCTGTCAAAGATGTTTTCTGCATCTATTGAGATAATAATGTGGTTTTTGTCGTTGGTTCTGTTTATGTGATGGATTACGTTTATTGATTTGCATAGGTTGAACCAGCCTCTTGGATCCCAGGGATGAAGCTGACTTGATCATGGTGGATAAGCTTTTTGATGTGCTGCTGGATTCAATTTGCCAGTATTTTACTGAGGATTTTCACACAGATGTTCATCAGGGATATTGGCCTAAGATTCTCTCTCTTTTTTTTTTTTTTTTTTGTTGTGTCTCTGCCAGGCTTTGGATCAGGATGATGCTGGCCTCATAAAATGAGTTAGGGAGGATTCCCTCTTTTTCTATTGATTGAAATAGTTTCAGAAGGAATGGTACCAGCTCCTCTTTTTACCTCTGGTAGAATTCGACTGTGAATCGTCTAGTCCTGGACTTTTTTTGGTTGGTAGGCTACTAATTATTGCCTCAATTTCAGAACCTGTTGTTGGTCTATTCAGGGATTCAACTGCTACCTGGTTTAGACTTGGGAGGGTGTATGTGTCCAGGAATTTATTCTTCTAGATTCCTAGTTTATTTGCATAGAGTTATTTATAGTATTTTCTGATTGTAGTTTGTATTTCTGTGGGATCCGTGGTGATATCCCCTTTATCATTTTTTATTGTGTCTATTTGATTCTTTATTTTTAAAGTTTATTTATTTAAAAATTAGAAAGATAAAAAAATTTATTGTTATTCATAGTACTTTTTATATCACCGCCCATTACACACACACACACACACACACACACACAAACTCACAGCAGAAAGAAACATTTCATAAAACAAATGTATCTTTTCCATTTGTGTAATATCCTGATCTGTTCTATTTTTTTTTAATTTTTTTTATTATACTTTAAGTTTTAGGGTACATGTGCACAACATACAGGTTTGTTCCATATGTATACATGTGCCATGTTGGTGTGCTGCACCCATTAACTCTTCATTTAACATTAGGTATATCTCCTAATGCTATCCCTCCCCCCTCCCCCCACCCCACAACAGTCCCTGGTGTGTGATGTTCCCCTTCCTGTGTCCATGTATTCTCATTGTTCAATTCTCACATATGAGTGAGAACATGTGGTGTTTGGTTTTTTGTCCTTGTGATAGTTTGCTGAGAATGATGGTTTCCAGCTTCATCCATGTCCGTACAAAGGACATGAACTCATCCTTTTTTATGGCTTCATAGTATTCCATGGTGTATATGTGCCACATTTTCTTAATCCCGTCTATCATTGTTGGACATTTGGGTTGGTTCCAAGTCTTTGCTATTGTGAATAGTGCTGCAACAAACACACGTGTGCATGTGTCTTTATAGCAGCATGTTTTATAATCCTTTTGGTATATACCCAGTAATGGGATGGCTGGGTCAAATGGTATTTCTAGCTCTAGATCCCTGAGGAATCACCACACTGACTTCCACAATGGTTGAACTAGTTTACATTCCCACCAACAGTGTAAAAGTGTTCCTATTTCTCCACATCCTCTCCAGCACCTGTTGTTTCCTGACTTTTCAATGATCGTCATTCTAACTGGTGTGAGATGGTATCTCATTGTGGTTTTGATTTGCATTTCTCTGATGGCCAGTGATGATGAGCATTTTTTCATGTGTCTGTTGGCTGCATAAATGTCTTCTTTTGAGAAGTGTCTGTTCATATCCTTCACCCACTTTTTGATGGGGTTGCTTGTTTTTTTCTTGTAAATTTGTTTGAGTTCATTGTAGATTCTGGATATTAGCCCTTTGTCAGATGGGTAGATTGCAAAAATTTTCTCCCACTCTGTAGGTTGCCTGTTCACTCTGATGGTAGTTTCTTTTGCTGCGCAGAAGCTCTTTAGTTTAATTAGATCCCATTTGTCAATTTTGGCTTTTGTTGCCATTGTTTTTGGTGTTTTAGATATGAAGTCCTTGCCCATGCTTATGTCCTGAATGGTATTGCCTAGGTTTTCTTCTAGGGCTTTTATGGTTTTAGGTCTAACATTTAAGTCTTTAATCTTCTCTCTTTTCTTCTTTATGAGTTTTGCTAGTGGTCTATGTATTTTGTTGATCTTTTCAAAAAACCAGCTCCTGGATTCTTTGATTTTTTTTTTGAAGGGATTTTGTGTCTCTATCTCCTTCAATTCTTCTCTGATCTTACTTATTTCTTACCTTCTGCTGGCTTTTGAATTTGTTTGCTCTTGCTTCTCTAGATCTTTTAATCCTGATGTTAGGGTGTTGATTTTAGATCTTTCCTCCTTTCCCTTGAGGGTATTTAGTGCTATAAATTTCCCTCTACGCACTGCTTTAAATGTGTCCCAGAGATTCTGGTATGTTGTGTCTTTGTTCTCATTGGTTTCAAAGAACACCTTTATTTCTGTCTTCATTGCGTTATTTTACCCCCAGTAGTCACTCAGGAGTAGGTTGTTCAGTTTCCATGTAGTTGTGTGGTTTTGAGTGAGTTTATTTATTTTTTTTTTTACGTTGACATTAATTTTTTTTATTATGCATTAAGTTCTAGGGTACCTGTGCAGAACATGCAGGTTTGTTACATATGTATACATGTGCCATGTTGGTGTGCTGCACCCATTAACTCGTCATTTTACAGTAGGTATATCTCCTAATGCTTTCCCTCCCCACTTCCCCCACCCCACAACAGGCCCTGGTGTGTGATGTTCCCCTTCCTGTGTCCAAGTGTTCTGATTGTTCAGTTCCCACCTATGAGTGAGAACATGTGGTGTTTGGTTTTTTGCTCTTGCGATAGTTTGCTGAGAATGACGGCTTCCAGCTTCATCCATGTCCCTGCAAAGGACATGAACTCATCCTTTTTTATGGCTGCATAGTATTCCATGGTGTATATGTGCCACATTTTCTTAATCCAGTCGATCATTGATAGACATTTGGGTTGGTTCCAAGTCTTTGCTATTGTGAATAGTGCCGCAATAAACATACGTGTGCATGTGCATTTATGGCAGCATGATTTATAATCCTTTGGGTATATTCCCAGTAATGGGATGGCTGGGTCAAATGGTATTTCTAGCTCTAGATCCTTGAGGAGTCGCCACACTGTCTTCCACAATGGTTGAGCTAGTTTACAGTCCCACCAACAGTGTAAAAGTGTTCCTGTTTCTCCACATCCTCTCCAGCACCTGTTGTTTCCTGACGTTTTAATGATTGCCATTCTAACTGGTGTGAGATGGTATCTCATTGTGGTTTTGATTTGCATTTCTCTGATGGCCAGTGATGATAAGCATTTTTTCATGTGTCTGTTGGCTGCATAAATGTCTTCTTTTGAGAAGTGTCTGTTCATATCCTTCACCCACTTTTTGATGGGGTTGTTTGTTTTTTTCTTGTAAATTTGTTTGAGTTCATTGTAGATTCTGGATATTAGCCCTTTGTCAGATGGGTAGATTGCAAAAATTTTCTCCCATTCTGTAGGTTGCCTGTTCACTCTGATGGTAGTTTCTTTTGCTGTGCAGAAGCTCTTTAGTTTAATTAGATCCCATTTGTCAATTTTTGCTTTTGTTGCCATTGCTTTTGGTGTTTTAGCATTTTTTTTTTTTTACTTTAGAACGATTTATTTGGAAACCATTTTCAGAATGTTTTAGAGTGAAAAGTAGTCAGTTAGGTTCTCAATACAATGTATCAGATTAAATGCACTAAATCCCTAAATTTGATAAAGACAATAGGGGGGAAACTCCAGTAACAGAAAGCATTGAGGAGGCTGTGTCTAAGGGACTTTTTGAGTGATGTAAGAGAGAAATAAAGGCAAAGTTGAAAATAACTCAATATGTGAGAAGACAGGAATGGAAGTTTGCTGGAAGGTGTTAAGGAGAGAAATGAGTTTAGTTTCTAAATTCTAAGGCATTGTATGGAAACTTCCAGCAGGTAGTTAGAATTCAGGTCTGAGAATTGAGTGAGAGGTGAGAATTGAATCAATGGGAGCTTGACAGGGAGAGTAAGGAATTAGACAAAGATGGGAAGAGGCCAAACAGAAAACTTCAGGTGGCATCTACTTTCTATGAAGAAACCTGACTAAAATAAGGAAAGTGACTGAGCCAGCAGAGGAGGAGAAAGACAACTGACGTCAGAGGAGCTGGATGAGCATTCCAGGACGAGGCTCCAAGGTAAAGCATGTGGTAACTGCACAAACGTCAAGTAGAATGAAGAATGAGGAAATGCCTGTAATAAAACAGGCATTTGAGGGTATCTGGTGACGTTTCAGAGCCCTAGACTCTTCTTCTGTGTATGGTAGCATCTAGATTTCCACTTTGACAAAAGCAGTGGCTACTTCTTTCAACACTGTTATGGACTGAATTGTGTCACCCAAAATTCATATGTCGAGCCCTAATGCGATGGTATTTGTTGATGAGACCTTTGGGAGGTAATTAGGGTTACATAGGGACATAAGGGTAGGGCCCTAATTTAATGGGATTAGTGCCCTCATAAGGAGAAGGAGCACAAATCAGCTCTCTCTTTCAACGCAGTCACATAGAAAAGTCATGTGAGCACACAGTGAGAAGGCGGCCATCTGCAAGCCAGAAAGAGAGCCCTTACTATAAACCAGCAATGATGGCACCTTGACCTTAAGATTTGTAGCCTCCAGAACTGTGAAAAATGAATGTCAATTGTTTAAGGCACCCAGTCTGGAATATTTTGGTATGGCAAGCAAAAGACTGATACAATAACCAATAAAGCAACAAAGTTTGATTTGCCAGTTCTGGAAAATGCCCCCCTCAGGAATACTTAGACCTCGGTTCTATCCCTGGATCCTAACTAACTCAAAACTACTGGATTAGTAACTTAACCTCTCTGAGCTTCAGTTGCAGAATCCAGAGAAAGAGGACACTGAAGTAAACCATCTCAGAGGTTCTTTTGAACTTTTCTGGTGTATTTTTCCAAGAAGCAATTTCAATATTGGAATGTTGGTAAATGTTGTCAAGCCCCCAAATAGCAACCACATCATCTCCATTACTAGAGATAGGTGGTCAGAAAATGGGCCTAGAGGGCATTTTAAATACTTTTCTACTACAAAGATTCTTTGCTGTTTAACAAGGTTGTTGGCAGCCCCTGAGATGGTATAGTCAAGAAAAGACCTGGCAGGAAAGAAGTGCCATTCAGAGAAAACACCACTGATTTTTAAAATGTGAATTGCAGGCTTCTCCTCCCCTTTCCTTTATCAACTGTGATTAGGCTGTACTTTGCTCGAGTTTACAATAATGATACTTTTACACTCAGCACTGTGCATTCTGAAGAGTGGGCCTAAAAGTACTTTACCATCTCATAGAGAAGAGTTCTTTCCTAGCAGGGTGTATTGCCAAGCCCTCTCTGCTTTGTCCTTCCCTCCATGGTTTGTTAACCAGCAGGAATGCTTTTTTTTATTATTATACTTTAAGTTTTAGGGCACATGTGCACAATGTACCGGTTAGTTACATATGTATACCTGTGCAATGCTGGTGTGCTGCACCCATTAACTCGTCATTTAGCATTAGGTATATCTCCTAATTGTTTTAGCAGTCTTATACACCAATAACAGACAAACAGAGAGCCAAATCATGAGTGAACTCCCGTTCACAATTGCTTCAAAGAGAATAAAATACCTAGGAATCCAACTTAACAAGGGATGTGAAGGACCTCTTCAAGGACAACTACATACCACTGCTCAAGGAAATATGAGAGGACACAAGCAAATGGAAGAGCATTCCATGCTCATGGATAGGAAGAATCAATATCGTGAAAATGGCCATACTGCCCAAGGTAATTTATAGATTCAATGTCATCCCCATCAAGCTACCAATGACTTTCTTCACAGAATTGGAAAAAACTACTTTAAAATTCATGTGGAACCAAAAAAGAGCCCGCATTTCCAAGACAATCCTAAGCCAAAAGAACAAAGCTGGAGGCATCACGCTACCTGACTTAAGTGAGTTTGTTAATCCCGAGTTCTAATTTGATTGCACTGTGGTCTGAGAGACTGTTTGTGGTGATTTCTGTTCTTTTACATTTGCTGAGGAGTGCTTTACTTCCAATTATGTGGGTCAATTCTGGAATAAGTGCGATGTGGTGCTGAGAAGAATGTATATTCTGTTGATTTGGTGTGGAGACTTCAGTAGATGTCTATTAAGTCCACTTGGTCCAGAAGTGAGTTCAAGTCCTGGATATCCTTGTTAACCTTCAGTCTTGTTGTTCTGTCTAATATTGACAGGGGGGTGTTAAAGTTTCCCATTATTATTGTGTGGGAGTCTAAGTCTCTTTGTAGGTCTCACTTGCTCTATGAATCTGGGTGCTCCTGTACTGGGTGCTTATATATTTAGGATAGTTAGCTCTTCTTGTTTAATTGATCCCTTTACCATTATGGAATGGCCTTCTTTGTCTTTTTTGATCTTTGTTGCTTTAAAGTCTGTTTTATCAGAGACTAGGATTGCAACCCCTACTTTTTTTTGCTTTGCATTTGCTTGGTAGATCTTCCTCCATCCCTTTATTTTGAGCCTTTATGTGTCTTTGCACATGAGATGGGTCTCCTGAATAGAGCACACCAATGGATCTTGACTCTTTATCCAATTTGCCAGTCTGTATCTGTTAATTGGGGCATTTAGCCCATTTACATTTAAGCTAAATATTGTTATGTGTGGATTTGATCCTGTCATTATGATGTTAGCTGGTTATGTTGCCCGTTAATTGATGCAGTTTCTTCATAGCTTTGATGGTCTCTACAATTTGGCATGTTTTTGCAGTGGCTGATACCGGTTGTTCCTTTCCATGTTTAGTGCTTCCTTCCGGAGCTCTTGTAAGGCAGGCCTGGTGGTGACAGAATCTCCCAGCATTTGCTTGTCTGTAAGAGATTTTATTTTTCCTTCACGTATGAAGCTTAATTTGGCTGGATGTGAGATTCTGGGTTGAAAATTCTTTTCTTTAAAAAAGTTGAACATTGGCCCCCACTCTCTTCTGGCTTGTAGGGTTTCTGCCAAGAGAGCCACTGTTAGTCTGACCAGCTTCCCTTTGTGGGTAACCTGACCTTTCTCTCTGGTTGCCCTTAACATATTTTCCTTCATTTCAACCTGGGTGAGTCTGACAATCATGTGTCTTGGGGTTGCTCTTCTCAAGGAGTATCTCTGTGGTGTTCTCTGTATTTCCTGAATTTGAATGTTGGCCTGCCTTGCTAGGTTAGGGAAGCTCTCCTGGATAATATCCTGAAGAGTGTTTTCTAACTTGGTTTCATTCTCCCCATCCCTTTCCGGTACACGAATCAAATGTAGATTTGGTCTTTTCACATAGTCTCATTATTTCTTGGAGGCTTTGTTCTTTTGTTTTCACTCTTTCTTCTCTAATCTTGTCTTCTCTCTTTATTTCAATAATTTGATGTTCAATCACTGATATCCTTTCTTCCACTTGATTGAATCGGTTATTGAAGCTTGTAAATGCATCACAAAGTTCTCGTGCCATGGTTTTCAGCTCCATCAGGTCATCTAAGCTCTTCTCTACACTGTTTATTCTAGTTTAGCCATCCGACTAACCTTTTTTCAAGGTTTTTAGCTTCCTTGTGATAGGCTAGAACATGCTCCTTTAGCTCAGAGAAGTTTGTTGTTACTGACCTTCTGAAGCCTACTTCTGTCAACTTGTTAAACTCATTCTCCATCCAGTTTTGTTCTGCTGCTGGCGAGGAGCTGCAATCCTTTAGAGGAGAAGAGGCACTCTGGTGTTTGGAATTTTCAGCTTTTCCGTTCTGGTTTCTCCCCATCTTTGTGGTTTTATCTACCTTTGGTCTTTGATGTTGGTGACCTACAGATGGGATCTTGGTGTGGATGTCCTTTTTGTTGATGTTGTTGCTATTCCTTTCTGTTTGTTACCTTTCCTTTGAACAGTCAGACTCCTCAGCTGCAGGTCTACTGGAGTTTGCTGGAGGTCCACTCCAGACCCTGTTTGCCTAGGTATCACCAGGGGAGACTGCAGAACAGCAAATATTGCTGCCTGATCCTTCCTCTGGAAGCTTCGTCCTAGAAGAGCACCTGCCTGCTTGAGGTGTCTGTTGGCCCCTACTGGGAGGTGTTTCCCAGTCAGGCTACACAGGGGTCAGGGACCAGCTTGAGGAGGCAGTCTGTCCATTCTTGGAGCTTGAATGCCATGCTGAGATAACCACTCCTCTCTTCAGAGCTGTCTGACAGGGATGTTTAAGTCCGCAGAAGCTGTCTGCTGCCTTTTGTTCAGATATGCCCTGCCCCCAGAGGTGGAATCTATAAAGACAGTAGGCCTTGCTGAGCTGCAGTGGGCTCCACACAGTTTGTGATTCCCAGCTGCTTTGTTTACACGGTAAGCTACTCAAGGCTCAGCAGTGGTGGACGCCTCTCCCCCCGTCAAGCTGCAGCATAGCAGGTTGATCTTAGACTGCTGGCGCTAGCAGTGAGCAAGGCTCCGTGGGCATGGGACCCACCGAGCCAGGCATGGGAGGGTATCTCCTGATCTGCCGGTTGCTGAGACCGTGGGAAAAGTGCAGTATTTGGTCAGGAGTGCACCGTTTCTCCATGTACGGTCTGTCATGGCTTCCTTTGGCTAGGAAAGGGAAATCCCCCGACCCCTTGTGCTTCCTGGGTGAGGCAACGCCCTGCCCTGCTTCAGTTCACCCCCAGTGGGCTATACCCACTGTTCAACCAGTCCCAATGAGATGAACCAGGCACCTCAGTTGGAAATGCAGAAATCACCCATCTTCTGCATCGATCTTGCTGGGAGCTGCAGACTGGAGCTGTTCCTATTAGGCCATCTTCCTAAGTCAGCATCTGTTTATTTATTTTCTAAGTCAGAGTTTCACTCTGTCACAGGCTGGTGTGCAGTGGCATGATCCCGGCTCACTGCAACCTCCGTCTCCCGGATTTAAGCAATTCTTGTGCCTCATGAGTAGCTGGGAATACAGGCAGGTGCCACCACACCGGGCTTATTTTTGTACTTTTGGTAGAGACAGGGTTTCACCATGTTGGCCAGACTGGTCTCAAACTGCTGAGCTCAAGAGATCTGCCTGACTCAGCCTCCTAAAGTGCTCGGATTACAGGCGTGAGCCACCGTGCCCAGCCCTACCTTTTGAACTGTTTAAAGGGATGGCTATTAAATTTTGGCCAGAAAGGAGAACAAGGGACTATAAATCCTAGAACCAGTGAACTTCAGAGCAATAGCTAGAGTCTGGGAAAAAGTACAAAAGAGTTTTGCTTTTTTCTTAAGTGGTAGAAGAAAACCATAGCGGGGGCAGAAAAAAGATAAAAAGATCATGTTAATGTTCCAGAGGGTGACACAACATGATAGGCCATAGGACAGGTGAAAAAAGTGCTGGGAAAAAAAATCAGAAAATTAACCTCGTTCTGCAGTTTTGGGCAGAAGTTGTCCACTTCCGAAGTAGGTGGTTCATTCTATAGTCTTGGACGGAATCTGTCCATTTTTGAAATCAGCTGTTTCTGAAGAATTTCTAAGAATCCTCAGTTTGAGGTTCCCTAATGGAATGGGCTTCCAGTAGTCGGGACAAAATGATGTATTTTTTTTCTAATTGGGAAGTATGATTCCCGGATCTATTCCGTGTTGTTTTATTGTTGTGTCAGTTATTAGCAGTGTCTGATGAGGTCTTTTTAATTGAGGTTCAAGGGCAGTTTTCCTTTTATGTCACTTCCAGAAGACTAAATCTCCCAGTTACAGATCTTACAGAAGCTTCTTAGCTGGGGTTTTGGAAATGAAGCTTGTACTTGGTGAAACACCTGGAAGCATCATATGATCTCTTGTATTCAGACACATTGACTGTAGTGTGGCAGAAAGTACGACTGGAAGCAATTTCCAAATGTGTGGGGCAGTCTGATAATTAACTCCAGAGTAGAGAACTTGCAGGTCCTGAGGGGGATTGATCTTATTGTCATCAAGGCCAGTGGAAATAGTTCGGTGCTTGGAAGTTTAAGGATACCTGAGAGCTTTGAAAATTCTAAGTTGAGAATTCCATTAGCTCTCTTTATTTTCTCTGCAGTCTGCGGATGATAAGGACAGTGGAGTTCTGAATAAAAGGTGTTAAATTATTCTTTAATAATACTTCTAGTGAAATATGTGTCCATGTTACTGAAGAGATAAGTTGGAATTCTCCAGTTTTTGAATATAAAGTAATTTTAAAAATCATGACGGCCATAGCTGTTCAACTAAGAGAGTGCACCCACCCTAAGAACGAAAACCAATAACCAGAACATATTTATGGACCGCTGCTGAAGGCACTTGTGGAAAATCCATTTGGAGGTGTTCAAAGAGGCCTTGAGCTTGTGGCTCTGTCCCATGTCTTGCCTGCATAGTCTTGCCAGGATTGTGTCTTCAGCTGGTAGATATGTATTGGAAATTTTCTTGGCAATATTCTTAAAATTACTCAACTAATATTGAATGCTTCAATATCATGGCCAACTTATCTCTGCAATTGTGAGAAATATCAGGAAGCATTTTTTGTTTAAACTCCACTTTTATTATGGCCATACCTCTGGATGCAAGTAAAAGATGTCAAGGTTTTAAGATTTATGTCCATTTTATAGGGCTTCCTGTAAGGAGAGAAAACAAAGTTTAGATATAGAGAAACATTTTGATAAACATACACACTAAAGAGAGTGACAGTGTGGCTGATTTGAGGACTTAAGCCCTAGACAATATTATCAAGCCACGCGAATAAAGAGCTGGGATGTATTAATCCAAGTGATGGAAATGAAGATGGGACTGACTCCTATATTAAACAAAATGATCTCTCATTTAGGCAGCCAGGAAAAACAATCTCCTCATGAAGATTGATTCACATTTTGTTTTGTTTTTAGGGTACCTGTCAAATGAAAAATCTGATTCGTGTCAAGATGTCCCAAAAAAGGCCATAGCAATTTTCAAATTGGCCCTAGTGAAATTGTGTCCGTTAGGGACAAGTACATACGCTAACATTATAATGAGAAAACATGAAGGAAACAGGTGTTTGTCCTGGAAGAAATGCAGTTTTAGATAGAATGACCCCATAAGAAACAGCAGTCTACAAGCATGGCGCTTTTGTAACTTAGTGTCTGTGGAATTTGGTGCAAGGCCAGTTGTCCCCCATCAGGGGCCAGACAATACCAGCTGTTTCTGGGCAAGTGAAACTGAACAAAGCAGTTTTGGCAAACTGACACAAACACAAGACTAAGGAAAAGGTCCTTAAAGTGTTTCGATATGGTGACCTGAGACAACATACGTCTGAAGAAAAACGGTCTTGGGAGATCGTCTGAGCTTCTCAGTCCAAGGGACTGGCTTGCAGACAGACTTACTGAGTTTATGCCTATCCTCCCCCACTCAGTAATCATTTTACAGACAAATGGCACTTAAGATACTAAACAAGCAGACAGACCATAAGAGCAGATTTAGAAGGCCAGAAAGCAACTGCACCAAGGAACAACACAAATCTGACCAGTGAATCAAACAAATCCCAAGAGACTGTATTCCTAGGAAACTGAAACAAACCCAATGATGGAGTGATTCAATAAACCCAACGATGAAGAGATTCAAAGCTTAATTCAGCATGAACTTTCTACCAGCCATGGGTAAGATGACACCTTGAACAGGTAGAGACAACAAGAGGTCTCAGATATGCACACTCTTATTGAGTTGACGATTCAGATCCAATACAGTGACAAGTTCAGCTGAATCCTGGCTGGAAACCCCGTTTGTGTAAATAACTTCCAGGCAACGACCAGCAGGATCTGATCAAAATATGAAAAATAGAACTACCATACAACCCAGCAATCCCACTGCTGGGTATCTATCCAAAGGAAAAGAAATCAGTACATCAAAGGAATACCTGCACTCACATGTTTATAGCAGCACTATTCACAATAGCCAAGATATGGAATCAATCTAAGTGCCCATCAGTGGATGAACGTATGGAGAAAATGTGGTATATACACACAATAGAATACTATCTGACCACAGAAAAAAATAAAATCACGTCATTTGCAGCAACATGAATGGAACTGGAAGTCATCATGTTAAGTGAAATAAGCCAGGTGCTGAAAGACAAATTTCACATGTTCTCACTTGCACATGGGAGCGAAAAAAGTTGATTTTAAGGACATAGAGGATAGACTGATAGATCCCAGAGACTGGGGAGATTGGGTAGGGTGGAAGGGGGTGTGAAGAGAGGTTGGTTATGGATACCATCACACAGTTAGAAGAATTAAGTTCTAATGTTTGGGTAGTGGATTAGGGCAACTATTCTTAAAACCAATACTGTTTACATTTCCAAGTAACTAGAAGAGAGGGGTTCAAATGATACCAACACATAAAACGATAAACACGCAAGGTGATGGGTACTCCAGTTACCCTGACTTGATCATTATACATTCTTTGCATGTAAAAAACACTCACATGTACCCACATGTATGTAAATTATTCCATGTCAGTAAAAGGGGAAGAAAAAGAAAATATAGGAGACAATCTTTGTGATAATAGATTAGGCAAAAAATTCTTATATCTGACACTAAAAGGATAAAGAAAGAAAAAACACCATAAAGAAAAAAACTGGTAAATTGGACTTTGTCAAAATTAAAAACTTTTGCTCTTGCAAAGACCCAAGTTAAGAGTGTGAAAAGACAAACCACAGACTGAGAAAAAAATATTTGCAAAGCTTATATTTGATAAAGCATTTGTGTTAAGAATATATAAAGAATTCTCTGCTGGGCACAGTGGCTCATGCTTGTAACCCCATTGCTTTGTGCGTTGCCTTTTTGATTTCTGTTTCAGCTATTTCATAATTGGTGTCTGAAATTGCTACTGATTTCTGTATGTCAATTTTGTATCTGCAACTTTACTGAATGTGTTGGATCAGTTCCAACGGTTTTCTGGTGGGGTTCTTCTGTTTTTTCTAGATATAAGATTATGTTGTCTGGAAGGAAGGATATTTTGACTTCCTTTTTTCCAGTTTGAAAGACTTTTATTTCATTTTCTTGCCTGATGGCTCTGGCTAGGACTTCCAGTACTGTGTTGAATAGAAGTGGTGAAAGTGGGGATCCTTGTCTTGTTCTAATTCTTAGTGGAAGGGCATTTAATTTTTCCCCACTTAGTATAATGTTAGCTATGAGTTTGTCACATATGGGCTTTATTATTTTAAGGTGTGGTCCTTCTATGCCTACTTTGTTGAGAGTTTTTTTTTTTTTTTTATCATGAAGCGGAGTTGAATTTTGTCAAATG